>NT_187683.1:0-186203 GCF_000001405.40 Homo sapiens
ACTGTTAAAATCTAGTAAGAGTCGCTTCTTCAGCACCTGCTCAAAGTTCTCAGCTGACACTTGCTGTAGGGAGACGCCATGTCTATGCGGGATGGGTCCTTCCTGTAGCCCTGGGCACCCAGGTGTGGTAGGAGCCTTAGAAACATGGAAATGGGAGAATCTTCTGAGCACAGGGAGGGAGGGGCGGCTCCACATCCTCCTCTCTAAGGTGGTGCCTCCTTCTCCCCCAGGTGGTCAGGACAAGCCCTTCCTCTCTGCCTGGCCCGGCACTGTGGTGTCTGAAGGACAACATGTGACTCTTCAGTGTCGCTCTCGTCTTGGGTTTAATGAATTCAGTCTGTCCAAAGAAGACGGGATGCCTGTCCCTGAGCTCTACAACAGAATATTCCGGAACAGCTTTCTCATGGGCCCTGTGACCCCAGCACATGCAGGGACCTACAGATGTTGCAGTTCACACCCACACTCCCCCACTGGGTGGTCGGCACCCAGCAACCCTGTGGTGATCATGGTCACAGGTCAGAGGCTTTCTGTCTGGGCTTCTCACTGTCCCACCTCCTGAATCCCAGAGCTTCTGGTGGGGGCGTCCATCAGGGTCCAATCATCCAGGCCCCGACTGTATTTGGGGTAAAGGGGGATTCAGTACAGAGAAATAGTTGCTGTGGTGGGAAGAATAATTGTCCCCAGTGATGGCTACATGGTAATCCATGAACCCTGTGACTATTTATGTTATAGGGCAGGGGACTGAAGAGGAAGATGGAGCTCAGGTTGTTGATGAGTTGACCTTGCGATGGGGAGACAGCCTGGACTGTCCTGCTGTGCTCAGAGTAATCACAAGGGTCCTCATGAGAGGAGGAGGAAGAGGAAAGTGGGGTTAGAGCAACGTCGTGGGAGGGAGACTCCATCAGCCACAGCAGGCTTTGAAGATGGGGGAAGGCCATGAGCCACAAAGGCAGGTGGCCTCTAAGGGCTGGAGAAGTCAAGGGAACTGATTCTTCCCTGAGTCTCCAGAGGAAACACAGCCCTGCAGATGCCTTGATTTTAGCCCAGAGAGAACTGGGTCCGATTTCTGTTCTCCAGAAGTGGAAGGGGTCATTGTATTCTCTCCTGCCCCATGTTTGTGACAATTTTCTCCAGCAGCAACAGGAAACCAACACAGGAACCCAGGTGAAGCACAGGTTAAGAAACCAAACAAGGAGAAGTTTGGCTACACTGATTTTAGCATGGGTGGGATACTGATGCTACCACCAGGCTCGATCCACATAGGGAGGGGTTGATGCTCCTGGAACCAGCACCAGGGGCCACCCTATGGAAGCTGGGGCCATGGAGAAGACACAGACATGAAAGGAGAGGCTCCCAATCCCCATCAGGAACAGGGACACTGATGCCTGCCTTACTGATGAGTTCGTACCTCCTGCCGGCCTTTCCAATCTGTCCAAAAGAGATTGATTCAGGCTGCTAAGAGCCTGGACATGCAGCCTGTCATGGTTCCTCTTCCACCCCCACATAAACACCAGGAAAGAGATTAGTGGGAAACAGATACAACAGCCTAAGAGGTGACACTGAGCACAGTGGGAAGGGAATCAGGGCTACTAGAGACAGAGAGACAGGGAAGAGGGAGGGAGACAGATGGAGGGACCTGCAACAGGGGTTATGGGCACAAAGGAACACGGAGACACAGACAGGAAGGAGAGAGATAGACACCATGGAGGGGAAGCCTCACTTATTTCAGGTCCCATGAATGGGATGAGAAAGGGAGACGCCTTCTGAACTCACAACCTCTCTTCTTAGGAGTCCACAGAAAACCTTCCCTCCTGGCCCACCCAGGTCCCCTGGTGAAATCAGGAGAGACGGTCATCCTGCAATGTTGGTCAGATGTCAGGTTTGAGCGCTTCCTTCTGCACAGAGAGGGGATCACTGAGGACCCCTTGCGCCTCGTTGGACAGCTCCACGATGCGGGTTCCCAGGTCAACTATTCCATGGGTCCCATGACACCTGCCCTTGCAGGGACCTACAGATGCTTTGGTTCTGTCACTCACTTACCCTATGAGTTGTCGGCTCCCAGTGACCCTCTGGACATCGTGGTCGTAGGTGAGAGAATACAGACCTGCCTCTCACCCTTGCTGGGAGATGGAGTGAATGATCTAGGACTGGAAGCCCCAGGTGGTCATGAGGAAGATGAGTGTGGGGTTCCTATGGAGAGAAAGTGACTTGGTGAGGTCTGTACCAACAAAGGCAGAGAAACAGGAGACACAAGTACAGACCTCATGTCATAACATAGAAGCCAGACACAGGGGCCATACAAGGTGTTAGAAAAAGAGATAAAGAGGTAAAGAAGACACAGAGAGACAGACATATCCCAGAGAGAGGTGTCCTTCTATGCTGACTTTGTTCAGAGACCAGGCACAGGTTAGAAGGTTCCATTCTGTTTTACCTCTACAAAGTGTTCTCTCCCAGGAGAACCCAAAGAGACACATCTATCTGGCCTGAGTTGGGCCATGTGGCCCCAGGCTGGTGGCACCTACAGATGTTGTGTTTATTCTTAAACCTCTGCCTTCCGTGCAGTGGAGCTGTCATCGTCCCAGGACACCATGGCCCCAGGTGAGGGAGCAGAACACCAACCCCTGTATGCTGTGAGTTCCTGGAGTCCCCATACTGGATTCTGAGGCTCATATTCAAATAGCACCACATGTTATAGGATTACTGAGAACAAAAGCCCACAGAGAGACACGGAGTGAAATCAGGGAAATCAAAAAGCAAAGACATGAACACACACACAGAATGAGCCAGAAGAAGGGAATTGAGAGACTCACAGACACATAAAGAGATAGAAAAAGAGGGCAGAGAAGTGGAGCGTATGATGGAAGGAAGCAGAGAAAAGCCCTAAAATCAGAGCCCTGAGGGAGGGGCACAAAGACAGGGAAAGATAAAGATGTGAGGATGGATTGCAGAGACTCCAAAAGGGAACTAGAGAGACTGAGAGGCAGAGAAAGACAAGGAGATGGAGAGAGACAGATGATAGATGGACAGATAGATATAGATAGATGAAAGATAAAAGGTAGATGATAGATAATAGAGAGACAGGTGATAGACAAATAGATGATGAATGACTGATAGATGATATAGATAGACAAGTAGAAAGACAGACAGATGATATATAAATAGATATAGAGAGATAGAAAGACAGATAAACACATGATGATAGATGGATAGATGCATACATACATACATTGATTGATAGATGATAGATAACAGAGAGATAGGTCATAGATACACAGATGATGATAGATGATAGATACATACATAGATAAATGATAGATCGATCAATAGATAGTAGATAGAAATATGCAGAAAGTTATGAGCAAGACAGAAAGTGAGAGACTCAGAATTAAAGAAAGAGGAAGATCAAGTCAACCAGTCCAAGGAGGGTCAGAGAGAATAAAATGGTACAAAAAAAGAAAACATAGCTAGGGATGGAGAAGTGAGGTCAGAGACCTAGAGAGACAGAGAAGGTGGAAGGAGGAAATAGACATGAAGAGAGATGGGGGTGGAGGGTGAGAGAGAGAAAGAGAGCATTAAGTCATAGAGCAGGGGAGTGAGTTCTCAGCTCAGGTGTGAGGAGAGCTGTGACAAGGAAGAACCTCCCTGAGGAAACCACCTCTTCTCCTTCCAGGTCTATATGGGAAACCTTCTCTCTCAGCCCAGCCGGACCCCACGGTTCAGGCAGGAGAGAATGTGACCTTGTCCTGCAGCTCTCGGAGCTTGTTTGACATTTACCATCTATCCAGGGAGGCAGAGGCCGGTGAACTTAGGCTCACTGCAGTGCTGAGGGTCAATGGAACATTCCAGGCCAACTTCCCTCTGGGCCCTGTGACCCACGGAGGGAACTACAGATGCTTCGGCTCTTTCCGTGCCCTGCCCCACGCGTGGTCAGACCCGAGTGACCCACTGCCCGTTTCTGTCACAGGTGAGAAAACACCATGCCTGTCCCATGTCTTGTGATCCTAGAGCCATAGCTGAGGAGCTTCCTGCTGATGATGGAGAGAAGCATGGACAGATGCCGAGACAGAACACACAGCATGGGTGTAAGGGCGGGGTCAGGGCGCAGGATGGCAGACAGGGCACCTCCAAACCCTCCTGTATGGCCTGCAAGGAGGCCCTTGATCAGGGTTCCAGGCACCCAGGCAGATGGAGAAAGAGGTCAGAACAGACCCAGAGGAGGGAGACTGGGCTCTGCCTGGGGAGATCAGAGGTTCTCTCAGCCCCTCAACCTTACCCACTTCCCAGAAGCCCATCCTGGCCTGTCACCCACAGAGAGATGTCATCACCAGCAACGCCTACACCCTTTTCTTTTTGTTTGAAGAAATATTTATTGAGGTGAAATATACCTATGTAATTTACCACCTTTACCATTTTTAAGTGTGAAGTCTACTGTTCATAAATACATTTATAGGCTGGGCACGGTGGCTCACGGTTGTAATCCCAACACTTTGAGAGGCCAAGGCAGGTGGATCATTTGAGATCAGGGGCTCAAGACCACCCTGGCCAACATGGGGAAAATCCATCTGTACTAAAAATACAAAATAATAATTATAATGATAATAATTAGCCGAGCATGGTGGCACATGCCTGTAGTCCCAGCTACTTGGTAGGGTTGGGCAGGAGTTGCACTTAATTGCAGGAGGCGGAGGTTGCAGTGAGCTGAGATCATGCCACTGCACTGCAGCCTGGGCAACAGAGAGAGACACTCTCTCAAAATTAATTAATTAATTAATTAGTATTCTTTTTTTTTTACCCTCCACCCTTCCCTTCCTGGCCTCTGGTAGCCACCATTCTACTCTCTACCTTTGTGAGATCCACCTTTTAGCTCCTGCATATGAGTGAGAAATGGAAATACTTGTAATGACCTCCAGTTCCATTCATGTGGCTGTAAATGACAGGATGTTACTCTTTCTATGGATGAGTTGTCCCTATTGTGTGTGTGTACCACATTCTCTCCATCCATTCACCCACTGATGGGCAGGTAGGTTGATCCACATCTTGGCTACTGTGAACACTGCTGGAACAGTCATGGGAGTGCAGATGTCACTTCGATACGCTGATGTCCTTTCCTTTGGGTTTACACCCAGTCATGGAATTGCTAGATCCTCTGGAAGTGTCTTTTTACATTTTGTTTTATGGTTTTTGTTTTTGTTTTTGTTTTTTTTAGACAGTTTCACTCTTGTTGCCCAGGCTGGAGTGCAGTGGCGCCATCTGGGCTCACTGCAACCTCCACCTCCAGGATTCAAGAGATTCCCCAGCCTCAGCCTCCCAAGTAGCTGGGTTACTGGCTCCCACCACCACACTCGGCTAATTTTTATATTTTTAGTAGAGACAGAGTTTCGCTATATTGGCCAGGCTGCTCTTCAACTCCTGACCTCAAGTGACCTACCCACCTCGGCCTCCCAATGTGCTGGGATTACAGGCATGAACCACTGTGCCCGACCTCATTTTATTTTTTGAGGAACTTCCATACTCTTCTCCTCTGTAATGGCTGTACTAATTTACATTCGTATCAGCAGTGTACCAGATGCAACCCTGGTTGACTCAGCAGAGCAAGAGACGTGCAGTAAGAGAGAATTTAGCTTATTTATGCACACGACACTTCCACTCACTCACTCGTTCAGCCAATGCCCCATGCTCTGGCTGTGCAGTGTGGAATCTTTTCCTATTGTTGCCATAACAAATTTCCACAAGCTTCGTGGATGAAAACGTGTTTTTCTTAATTATCTCACAGTGCTGTAACTCAGAAGTATGAACTGCATTTCACTGGGCTGATATCAAAGGGAGAGTAAGGCTGGATTTCTTTTTAAGGTTCCAAGCAAGAATCTGCTCCTTAACGTTTCCCAGCTCCTAGAGGCTCCCACGTTCCTGGGCTCCTGGTCCCCTTCCTCCTTCCTCCTTCCTCAAAGCCCACAAAGGCTGGTCACGTCTCACATGGCATCATTCAGAATCTTCTTCTTTACCCACACCTTTTTCTCTGAATCCTGCTCTGCCTTCTTCCTCATCTTTTAAGGACTTTGGGATTCTATTGGGGTCACCAAGATAATCCATCTCAATCTCCCTAAAATCATCCAGCGTACCCTCTTTTTAAGTTCAGCTGATTAGCAACCGTAATGCCATCTGCAATCTTCATTCCTCCTTTCCTGTAAAATAACATATTCACAAGCTATGGAGGCTAAGACAGGGACATTTTGGGGGTGGGGCAGCATTCTCCTGCCTTCCACAAATGGTAAACAGGATGCATTTGGCCTCTGCTCTTGGGACGCTGATATTGCAGATGGGTAAATGCGAGGGCAGAGAATGAATGCACAAGGGTACCAATAAATGAATGATCCATTGGGAAGCATCTGTGCACCAAATCTGGGGTTTTTTGTGTGTGTGTGTTTTTTTTGTTTTCTTTTTTTTTTTGAGTAGAGTCTCTCTCTGTTCCACAGGCTGGAGTGCAGTAGCACAATCTCAGCTCATTGCAACCTCTGCCTCCTGGGTTCATGCAATTCTCCTGCCTCAGCCTACCGAGTAGCTGGGATTACAGCTGTGCGCCACCACACTCGGCTAATTTTTTTGGTATATTTTTTAGTAGAAATGAGGTTTCACCATGTTGTGCAGGCTGTCTCAAACTCCCAATCTCAAGTGATCCCACCGCCTTAGCGTCCCTAAGTGCAAAGATTACAGGCGAGAGCTACTGCGCCCAGCCAGGATTTAAAATAAGTAATAGATAATGCTGAGTATACAATTTCAGGTGACAGAGAAGGTCTCACTGATCAGATAATATTTGTGACCTTAATGGAAAAAATGGATTCAACCCTTGGAAGATTGGCGGAAGGATTTTCCACACTGAGCTCTCAGCCGTGAAGGCACAAAGGTGGAAACATTCTTAGTTCAAGGAAGAGGCTCTGCCTCAAATGCTGGGAATGAGATGGGGAGAATGACAAGACGACTGTGGAGAGACGGAGAGTACACTGGGTACACAGGAAACTAAGGAGGAACAAGGAGCGTGTGTTTGACACTCACAGCCCTTGGATTCAACTCAGAGCTAACTAGGAATCCCTACCTGATTAACAGTGACCGACATGAAAATAAGGGAGGCCCAGGTGCGTAACTGGAATCTAGGAGACCGTGGAAAAGGCAATTCCCGCCCCACTGGTGAAACGTAGGGTTGATTTACACACTAAATGAATGAAAGATGGATATAAGCTATGCTTGTGAGGTAGAATCATTTGCAGGGAGGGCTTGCTGGGTTTGATTTTTCCTAGTAGTTTAATCCTTGTTTCATTAATTTCTTTCTGAGATGTGTTTTTTTTCTACATCTAAATCAATACCTGGCAGAGGAGCGATAGACACATGAGGGGTGGTGCAAATGAAGGGACCTAGTATAATATAATATACAAGACTGTGGATGGGGGCTCACACCTGTAACCCAACACTTTGGGAGGCCAAGGCGGGTAGATCACTTAAGGGTAGGAGTTTGAGACCAGCCTGGCCAACATGGTGAAACCCCGTCTGTACTAAAAATACAAAAATTAGCCTGGTGCATTGGCACCTGCCTGTAATCCCAGCGACTGGGGAGGCTGAAGCAGAAGAATGGCTTCAACCCTGGAGGCAGAGGTTGAACTGAGATCGCATCACTGCACTCCAGCCTGACACAGGGGGACTCTGTCTCAAAAAATAAAAATAAAACATACATAATTATGACACACAGAAATTACAAAGGCAACTGGATACCAACCATCATTTTTCTATTTCTCTGTGTTTAATTCTTTGACCCTTTATCTTATCCATTAAACAATCAGGTTAAACCTCTTCCTTATTTGGCTTTCTGTGAGCTTGGGATCATATGGAAAATGTGAAAGCCTCCTGAACCCACCAGCACAGGTCCTGGAATAGAGAACGTGCTCTGTTCATGGCATAAAACTTGCCCCTTCACCCAAATCCCCCAATTCATCTCTACTTCCAATCACCTATGGAGATACAGATAGATCATGGGGAGGTAAACACTGATACTCTTTGGAGTGAGCTCAGATCTTGGACTCAGAGACCAGTGCCAGCACTAGCCCCTGGTCACATTTCGTACTAACTCACAGAAGGACAGGCTGTATTGAAACAATAAACGACGGAGAGGGCGGTCCTTCCCCGTGCTTCTCGGGTGGAATAGCAGCCTAATATATGTCTCAGCAGATCACAAAAAGTAGCATGTTGTTCCTGGGCTACATCATTATTTCATGGCTGTTTGATTTAAGTCAGTTCTACTTCACTTTTTTTATCTTGATTTCATTTTTTCTTTCTTTTCTTGGAGAATGTAATTTTTTTGAGTCAAGAGGGTTGTGGTGGTAGAAACTGTAAAGCACATTCGCTGTGTATCAATCCCAATCCAGTCTTCCCAGAGAAGATTCTAAACACCTCCTGGAATGCACCTGGGCCTATACCAATTCCTATCACTCACCGTCACTCCAGGGAGACAGAACACACAGAGAACACATTACACAGGCAGGTTCATTACTAACAGATAAGCAGCGAGTGACAACAGAAACCTACATTTCAATGTGAGCCAGTCCCTCAAGGCTCAGAAAAGCTGCTCGAGACATGTGGAGTCACCCCATATGCAGTGTATCTGGGGGAAATCAAAAAGCAGCCCAGCCTGGGTTTTGTACCCTGGAGCCACAGGAAGCACTCAGCTAAAGCACTGCATGACTTCCTCCTCCAGGAAGAACAGGAAGACAGCCCAGGCTGTTCTGGGATGTTCCTCCTGATCTCAGGACGTTGCTGTCTTAGTCCATTTTTGTTGCTCTAAAGGAACACTTGAGCCTGGGTAACTTCTAAAGAAAAGAAATGTGTTTGCCTCACAGTTCTGCAGGCTGTACTGGAAGCATGGCACCAGCATCTATTTCTTGTGACGGCCTCAGGCTGCTCCCACTCTGGCAGAAGGGAAGGAGGGTCTGTCTGTGCAGAGACCACAGAGATCACACGGCAAGAGAGGGACCAAGGGGGAGGGGGAGCGATGGAGCTTCCAAGCTCTTTTAACAACCAGTTCTCCAGGAACTAATAGAGGGGGAACTTGCTAACCCCGTCTCCTTGGAACAGCATTGATCTGTTCATGATGGATCCACCTCCATGACCCAAACAACTCCCAAGAGGCCCAACCTCCCACCCTGGGGGTTACATTTCAATGTGAGGTTTGAAGGGGTCAAACATCTAAACTAAAGCAGTTGTATCCTCAGCACGTTCTATGGTTACTACAACTGAGAAAGCAGGAGGAAGCTAGGTCTCCCGCCATCTGGGTGCTTGTCCTAAAGAGACGTTGTATGTGGTTACCTGTCAATCAAGAAATGTGAGACAATTCATATAGAGGAACTGCTATGATTAGCTTCTTATTGGTGTCTTGTCTTCCTCCAGGTAACTCCAGACACCTGCACGTTCTGATTGGGACCTCAGTGGTCATCATCCCCTTTGCTATCCTCCTCTTCTTTCTCCTTCATCGCTGGTGTGCCAACAAAAAGAGTAACTCTCACGAAGCAGAAGCCAGAGAGCTCAGGGCCATGTGGGGAAGCAGGATGGGAGCACTCAGGTGTGTGTTCCTCACAGGCAGGATGGTCCCTGGCCCAAGGCAGGAGCCACAGAGGCAGGACTTTCTAGAGAGAGCACCAGACTCCCTGCCTCTGCCTTCAGCTCACAGACCATTGCCTGATTCTGAACCGTATCCTCACATCCCCTGCAGCCACTCACATCCAGGAGAAGGTTCCATGACAGGCAGAAAGTGGGACACAGAATCAATAGGATGGGAACTCAGAGCTATACATGGGATGGATCCTTGAGCTCAGAGAGATAGAATGTCTGAGTCTGCTGTTGGCAACTGAGGGACCTCAGGCACCTATGGCCTCCCCCTGTATGTTGGTATCTGCTTATGAAATGAGGACCCAGAAGTGCCCTCCGAGCTGTTTTGACGACTTCCGTCTTCTACAGATGCTGTTGTAATGGACCAAGAGCCTGCAGGGAACAGAACAGTGAACAGGGAGGTAGGTGCTCCTCCGCCCAGCCTCGTGGCTAGTCTTATTCCCAAAGAGTCCTGGAAAATGTGAGCACCCTCCCTCACTCAGCATTTCCCTCCCTCCAGGACTCTGATGAACAAGACCCTCAGGAGGTGACATACGCACAGTTGAATCACTGCGTTTTCACACAGAGAAAAATCACTCGCCCTTCTCAGAGGCCCAAGACACCCCCAACAGATACCAGCGTGTAACACGGAACTTCCAAATGCTGAGCGCAGATCCAAAGTTGTCTTCTGTCCACTAGCACCACAGTCAGGCCTTGATGGGATCTTCTAGGGAGACAATAGCCCTGTCTCAAAACCGGGTTGCCAGCTCCCATGTACCAGCAGCTGGACTCTGAAGGCGTGAGTCTGCATCTTAGGGCATCGCTCTTCCTCACACCACGAATCTGAACATGCCTCTCTCTTGCTTACAAATGTCTAAGGTCCCCACTGCCTGCTGGAGAGAAAACACACTTGCTTAGCCCACAATTCTCCATTTCACTTGACCCCTGCCCACCTCTCCAACCTAACTGGCTTACTTCCTAGTCTACTTGAGGCTGCGATCACACTGAGGAACTCACAATTCCAAACATATAAGAGGCTCCCTCTTAACACGGCACTTAGATACGTGCTATTCCACCTTTCCTCAGAGTATCTTTCAGCCTTCTGTCAGCAGTAAAACTTATAAATTTTTTTTATAATTTCAATGTAGTTTTCTATTCTTCAAGTAAACATGTCTGCCCTCATGGTTTCGTCAATGGGACTCTTTTCTTGCCTAAGGCTTCCGGTGTTATCATTACCACGTCCACATAACCCCATCTGTTCTCCGCTGGGTTCTCAGCCCTGGACTCTGAGCTTCTGGAAGCATGGTGGAGCCTGAATTGTCTCTGAGACTCCAATTTCCATCCAAAGATGCAGCACATAGGAGGTTCCAAGGATGGTGAATCAGATGAACAAGTGATATTCTTACTCTCTGCAGATCTGGAAAGCTGGCAGAGTCATTCCACGATGAAACATTTGTAGAGTCATAGGCCTTGTTAGTCTCATCTCCACAGGGACACGTATCAACACATCATCTTTCATACTACTATAAATAGACAGTCACTCCTCCATATCTCTGGGGTTTACACATGTTTATTGAATCAGCAATAAATCAAAAATATTTTGAGAAAAAAAATCCCCGAAGTTTCAAAAAGCAAAAAACTATGTTGAATCGACACAAATTGAGTGGCGTGTAGGCTGTGTCAGGAATTATAAGTAATCAAGAGATGATTTCATGTATACAGGAGGATGTGCATGGGTTCTATGCAATTGCTATGCTATTTTTTTTTTTTTTTTGAGACAGTCTCACTCTCTCACCCAGGCTGGAGTGCAGTGGCGTGATCTCAACTCACTGCAACCTCCGCCTTCCAGGTTCAAGCGATTCTCTTCCCTCAGCCTCCCCAGTAGCCTCCCCTAGGATTACAGGCACGTGCCACCCTGCACAGATAAATTTTTTTGTGTGTATATTTTTAGTAGAGATGGGGTTTCAGAATGTTGGACCAGCTGGTCTTGAACTCCTGACCTTGTGATCTACCCAGCTCAGCCTCCCAAAGTGCTGGGATTACAGGCGTGAGCCACGGTGCCCAGCTTCACTATGCCATTTCATGCAAGGGGCTTGAGCATCTGCAGATTTTGGTATCTGAATGGGGATCCTGGAACCAATCACCCAGGTATAGTGAAGGACCATGGTATATAATTTTTATTTGTCAATCTTAAAAATAAAGCATAAAAAATTTACAACAACAAGATAAAAAATAAGAAGTGTTTTTATAGTGTGAGGATAAGTTTAGATTTATTTTTTCCTACGTGTAACCCTATGGTCCTGTGTTATTTGTTGAGAAAATATTCTATTCCACCTTAAACTACATGGCAGCCTTTGTCAACTATAAAGGGACTGTGTATCCACAGATGTATTTTAGACACAGTTTTCTGTCCAGTGGTTCTCTGTATCCCCTCTCATGAGGATGCTGCATTTTATATAAACTTATAGAACCACTTAAAATTTGGTAACCTGAGTCCTCTGATTTGTTATTATAGGTTATTTAGTTTGCTTTTTTTTTTTCTTGAGACAGACTCTTCCTCTGTCACCCAAGCTGGAGTTCAGTGGCTTGAGCTCAGCTCACTGCAACCTCCGTCTCCCAGGTTCAAGCTATTCTGATGCCTCTGGTTTAGTAGTAGAAACTCAAGCAGGAAAATTAGAATGGCTTCTTGTCACAATTACTCTGATAATGTTAATAATACCTGTTAGACATTTTGCACATTACATATGAAGAAGAGTTTGAATCTCAGATAAAAACAAAAATACATCAAAAATCTTTAATGTAAGCACAGAATTCAATCATCTCGTGTATGAGAGGTTGGATCTGAGACGTCTTTTGAGTCTGGTCGTAGTGAAGGACGCAAGGTGTCAATTCTAGTGAGAACAATTTCCAGGAAGCCATGTTCCGCTCTTGAGCGAGCACCCACTGGGCCTCATGCAAGGTAGAAAGAGCCTGCGTACGTCACCCTCCCATGATGTGGTCAACATGTAAACTGCATGGGCAGGGCGCCAAATAACATCCTGTGCGCTGCTGAGCTGAGCTGGGGCGCGGCCGCCTGTCTGCACAGACAGCACCATGTCGCTCATGGTCGTCAGCATGGTGTGTGTTGGTGAGTCCTGGAAGGGCATCGAGGGAGGGAGTGCGGGGATGGAGATCGGGGCCCAGAGTTGGAGATATAGGCCTGGAAGTGGAGTTATGGGCCTAGAGATGGAGTGATGGGCCTAGAAGTGGAGATCTGGGCCTGGAGTGGAGATCTGGGCCTGGAGTGGAGATATGGGCCTGGAGGTTGAGATATGGGCCTGCAGTAGAGATATGGGCTTGTAGTGGAGACATGGGCCTGGAGATGGAGATATGGGCCTGGAGATGGAGATATGGGCCTGCAGTAGAGATAGGGGCCTGGAGTGGAGATATGGGCCTGGAGTGGAGATATGGGCCTGGAGTGGAGATATGGGCCTGGAGGTGGAGATATGGGCCTGGAGGTGGAGATATGGGCCTGGAGTGGAGATATGGGTCTGGAGGTGGAGATACGGGCCTGCAGTAGAGATATGGGCCTGGAGTGGAGATATGGGCCAGGAGTGGAGTTATGGGCCTAGAGGTGGATATCTGGGCCTGGAGTGGAGATATGGGCCTAGGAAGGAGATATGGGCCTGGGTGTGGAGATATGGGACTGGAGAGGTGATATGGGCCTGGAGTGGAGATATGGGCTTAGGGTGGAGATCTGGGCCTGGGGCGGAGATATGGGACTGGATTGGAGATAGGGGCCTAGGGTGGAGATCTGAGCCTGGATTGGCGATATGGGCCTAGGGTGGAAATATCAGCCTGGAGTGGAGATATGGGCTTGGGGTGGGGATATGGGCCTGGAAACTGGGTCTCTGCACAGCCGACAGCCCTGTTCTTGGGTGCAGGTAGGCACTGAGGGTGAGTTTAACTTCAGCCCAGGAAGGGCCTGGCTGCCAAGACTCACAGCCCAGTGGGGGCAGCAAGGGAGGCCTGGTTTGCCTGCAGATGGATGGTCCATCATGATCTTTCTTTCCAGGGTTCTTCTTGCTGCAGGGGGCCTGGCCACATGAGGGTGAGTCCTTCTCCAAACCTTCGGGTGTCATCTCCCCACATAAGAGGATTTTCCTGAAACAGGAGGGAAGTCCTGTCGGGGAGTCTCTCATAAACTAGGAAGAGAGGACCCTGGGGTGCTCAGCCCACATTTCTGACCTCGCCTCCCTGGCCTCTCAACCCCTTGGCAGAGTCAAGTTCTGTGGGGACCAGGGTTAGACTGGGGTGCTCAAAGCTGGGGTGTGTGGTTGGGAAGTGGTAGGAACAGCAGATCCTCTGAGGACAAAGGTGTTACTCACACACTTCAGCGTTTCCATGATGGTAGGGGCTGCAGTGTGGCTGCTGTCATTCTACCAGAAGAGGTGGGAAACCACAGCCATGGCCCTGACATTCCAAATCCTCTGATGGGGGCTCAGTTGTTTATTTTCGTTCAGGCATCCGCTGATATCCATTCACAAAGGACATGCCCTCCACCTCATGTCTACCCTGTGTTGTTTTATGTGAGTAATCTTACAGTATTAAAATCTAGTAGGAGTCTCTTTACTCAGCACTTGCTCAAAGTTCTCAGCTGAGGCTTTTGTTGTAGGGAGACACCATGTCTTTGCGGGATGGGTCCTTCCTTCAGCCCTGGGCACCAAGGTGTGATAGTAGCCATAGAAACGTGGAAAGCGAGGAGAATCTTCTGAGCACAGGGAGGGAAGGGCAGTTCCACATCCTCCTCTCTAAGGCGGCGCCTCCTTCTCCCCAAGGTGGTCAGGACAAGCCCTTGCTGTCTGCCTGGCCCAGCCTTGTGGTGCCTCTAGGACATGTCATTCTTCGGTGTCACTCTTATCTTGGGTTTAACAACTTCAGTCTGTACAAGGAAGGTGGGGTGCCTGTCCCTGAGCTCTACAACAGAATATTCTGGAACAGCCTTTTCATGGGCCCTGTGACCCCCGCACACACAGGGACATACAGATGTCGGGGTTCACACACACACTCCCCCAGTGGGTGGTCAGCACCCAGCAACCCCCTGGTGATCGTGGTCATAGGTCAGAGGGCTCCTGTCTTGGATTCTCCTTGTCCCACCTCCTGAATCCCAGAGCTTCTGGTGGGCATGTCCTTGAGGGTCCCATCACGCAGGCCCTGACTGTATTTGTGGTAAAGGGGGATTGAATACAGGGAAATGGGTGCTGTGGTGGGAAGAATAATTGTCCCCAGTGATGACTACATTCTAATCCCTGGAGTCTGTGACTATTTATGTTATAGGGGAAGGGACTGAAGGGGAAGATGGAGCTCATGGGGAGACAGCCTGGACTGTCCCACTGGGCTCAGTGTAATCACAAGGGTGCACATGAAAGGAGGAGGAAGAGGGGAGTGGGGATTAGAGCAGTCCAGTGGAAGTCTTCACCAGCTTTGAAGGTGGAGGAAGGCCAAGAGCCATGAATGCAGGTGGCCTATAGAGGCTGGAAAAGTCAAGGAACTGATTCTCCAGAGTCTCCAGAGGGAACAAAGCCCTGCAGATGCCTTGATTTTAGCCCAGGAAAAATAGGGTCCAATTTCTGTCTCCAGTACTGGAAGGTGTCAGTGTGGTCTCTCCTGCTGCCATGCTTCTGATAATTTTCTACAGCAGCAACAGGAAACCAACACTGGAACCCAGGTCAAGGACAAGTTAAGAAACAACCCAAGGAAAGCCAGGCATGGTGGCAGGTGCATGTAATCCTAGCGACTCAGGAGGCTGAGGGCAGGAGAATCACTTGAACCCAGGAGACAGAGGTTGCAGTGAGCCTAGACCACACCACTTCACTCCAGCCTGGGTGAAGGAGTGAGACTCTGTCTCCAAAATTAATTAATTAATTAAAGAAACCAAACAAGGAGAAGGTTGGCTACCCTGAGATCAGCAAGGGTGGGATGATGATGCCACCACCAGGCTCCATCCACATAGGGAGGGGTTGATACTCCTCCAACCAGCACCAGGAGCCAGCCTATGGAAGCTGGCACCATGGAGAAGGCACAGGCATGGCAAGAGTGGCTCCCAGTCCCCACCAGGAACAGGGTGTGTGGACACTGGTGCCTGCCTTATTCATCAGTTCATACCTTCTGCCAAGGATTGCAATTCATCCAAAAGAGATTGAACCAGGCTGATAAGAGCCTGGATGTGCAGCCTATCCTGGTTCCTCTTTCACCCCCACATAAACAGCAGGAAATACATTAGTGTGAAATAGATACAACACCCCAAGAGATGAGGCTAAGCCCAGTGGGAAGGGAATCAGAGGCTACTAGAGACAGAGGGACAGAGAAGAGGGAGGGAGACAGATGGAAGGACCTGCACCAGGAGTTAAGGGCACAGAAAAGAACATGAAGACACAGAGAGGAAGGAGAGAGACAGACACCAGCAAGGGGAAGCCTCACTCATTCTAGGTGCCATGGATGGGATGATAAAGAGAGACACCTTCTAAACTCACAACCTCTCTTCCTAGGAGTCCACAGAAAACCTTCCCTCCTGGCCCACCCAGGTCCCCTGGTGAAATCAGAAGAGACAGTCATCCTGCAATGTTGGTCAGATGTCAGGTTTCAGCACTTCCTTCTGCACAGAGAAGGGAAGTTTAAGGACACTTTGCACCTCATTGGAGAGCACCATGATGGGGTTTCCAAGGCCAACTTCTCCATCGGTCCCATGATGCAAGACCTTGCAGGGACCTACAGATGCTACGGTTCTGTTACTCACTCCCCCTATCAGTTGTCAGCTCCCAGTGACCCTCTGGACATCGTCATCACAGGTGAGAGTGTCCGGACATTCTCATTGTCATTGGGATGCAGAGTGAATGATCCACGACTTGGAACCCCCAGGTAGTTGTAAGGAAGATGAGCTTGGTATTCTTATGGAGAGAGACTGACTTGCTGAGGTTTGTACCAACAGAGACAGAGAAACAGGAGACACAAGTACAGACCAGGTGTCATAACAGAGGACAGACACAGGGGCCATACAGGGAGTTAGAAAAGACAGAAAGAGTTAAAAGAGACAGACAGACAGACATGTCCCAGAGAGAGGTGTCCCTCCATGCTGACTTTGCTCAAGACCTGGCACAGGTTAGAAGTTTCATTTCTGTTTTACCTCCACAAAGTGTTCTCTACCAGGAGAACCCAAGGACACCCATATTTATGACCTGAGTTGGGCCCTGTGGCCTCAGGCCTTGTGGCACCTACAGGCCATGTTTATTCTGACACCTCTGCCTTCCATGTAATGGAGAGTAATCGTCCCAGGATATCATGGCCCCAGAACACCAACCCCTGTATGCTGTGTGAACTTGTGGTCTCCAGACTGGATTCTGTGGCTCACATTCCAAATAACCCCACATATGAAAGGATCACTGAGAGGCACAGAGAAAAATCAGGAACACCAAAAAGCAAAGACATAAACACACAGAGAATGAGCCAGAGGAAGGAGATTGAGAGACTCACAGACACATAAAGAGAGAGAAAAGAGGGCAGAGGAGTGGTGAGAATGATGGCAGGGAGCAGAGAAAAGCACTAAAATTAGAGTCCTGAGAGAGAGGCACAAGGACATAGAAACATGGAGATGTGGGGATGAATTGCAGAGATTCCAAAGAGAGCTAGAGAGACCGAGAGGCAGAGCAAGACAGATGATAGATGGATAGATATAGATAGATGATAAATAGGTAGATGATAGATAATAGGTTAAAGATACATAGATGATGATTGATTGATTCATTAATAGATAATACATAGAGATGATGATGATGAAGACAGATAATACGTACAGATAGAGAGGCAGACAGAAATCATAGAGAGAGAGATGATACATACATATAAATAACAGATGATTGATGGATAGATAGACAAGTGATAGATACATAGATGATATATAGATATAGATGACAGGTAGAGAATTTGTAGATAGACACCGAATAGATAAATAGATAGATCGACAGATAATAGATAGAAATATGCAGAAAGTTATGAACAGGACACAACGTGAGAAACTTAGAATTTAAAAAAGTAACATCAAGTCAACCAATCCAAGGAGAGTCAGAGAGAATAAAAGAATCCAAAAAGGGAAAACATATCTAGAGGTGGGGAAGCGAGGTCAGAGACCTAGAGAGACAGAGAAGGTGGAAGAAGGAAATAGACATGAAGAGAGATGGGGTGGAGGGTGAGAGAGAGAGAGAGAGAGCATTAGGTCATAGAGCAGGGGAGTGAGTTCTCAGCTCAGGTGAAGGGAGCTGTGACAAGGAAGATCCTCCGTAAGGAAAATGCCTCTTCTCCTCCAGGTCTATATGAGAAACCTTCTCTCTCAGCCCAGCCGGGCCCCACGGTTCTGGCAGGAGAGAGCGTGACCTTGTCCTGCAGCTCCCGGAGCTCCTATGACATGTACCATCTATCCAGGGAGGGGGAGGCCCATGAACGTAGGTTCTCTGCAGGGCCCAAGGTCAACGGAACATTCCAGGCCGACTTTCCTCTGGGCCCTGCCACCCACGGAGGAACCTACAGATGCTTCGGCTCTTTCCGTGACTCTCCATACGAGTGGTCAAACTCGAGTGACCCACTGCTTGTTTCTGTCACAGGTGAGGAAACCCCATATCTGTCTCATGTCCTATGATCCTAGAGCCTTAGCTGAGGAGCTTCCTGCTGATGATGGAGAGAAGCATGGACAGATGCAGAGAGAAGACGAAGCTTGGGTGTGAGGGAGGGATCAGGGCACAGGATGGCAGACAGGGCACCTCCAAACCCTCCTACACGGCCTGCATGAAGGCCCGCGGCCAGGGCTCCAGGCACACAGGCAGATGGAGAAAACGGTCAGGAGAGACGCAGAGGAGAGAGACTGGGCTCAGTTTGGGAAGATCAGAGGTTCCCTCAGCCCCTCAACATTACCCATTTCCCAGAAGCCCATCCTGGCCTCTCACCCACACAGGGATGTCATCACCAGCAACCCCTACACCCTTTACTTTTGTTTGAAGAAATATTTATTGAGGATAAATATACCTATATAGCTTACCACCTTTAACATTTTTTTTTTTTTTGAGGCAGAGTCTAGCTCTGTCCCCTATGCTGGAGTGCAGTGGCACAATCTCAGCTCACTGCAACTTCCGCCTCCTGGGTTCAAGTGATTCTCCTGCCTCAGCCACCTGAGTAGCTGGTGCTACAGGCGCGCACCACCACGCCAGGCTACTTTTTGTATTTTTAGTAGAGAGGGGGTTTCACCATGTTGGTCGAGCTGGTCTCCAACTCCTGACCACGTGATCCACCCGCATCTGCCTCCCAAAGTGCTGGGATTACAGGCATGAGCCACCACGCCCAGCCACATTTACCATTTTTAAGTGTAAAGTCTAGTGGTCATAAATACATTTATATATATATATATATATATATATATATACACACACACACATATATATACATATATATATATATATATATATATATATATATATTTTTTTTTTTTTTTTTTTTTTTTTTTTACCCTCCACCCTTTTATTCCTGGCCTCTGGAAGCCACCATTCTACTCTCTACCTTCATGAGATCCACCTTTTAGCTCTGTATATGGGTGAGAAATGGGAATCTTTGTAATGACTTCCAGTTCCATCCATGTGGCTGCAAATATCAGGATGTTATTCTTTCTATGGATGAGTAGTCTCCACTGTGCGTATGTACTACATTCTCTCTATCCATTCATCCACTGATGGGCAGGTAGGTTGACTCCACATCTTGGCTACTGTGAACAGTGCTGCACCAATCATACGAGTGCAGATATCACTTCGATATATTGATTTACTTTCCTTTGGATATAAACCCAGTAGTGAAATTGCTGGATACTATGAAAGTTCTCTTTTTAGTTATTCGTTTGTTGTTTTGTTTTTGTTTTTGAGACAGTTTCCCTCTGTGCCCAGGCTGGAGTACAAGTGAAGTCATCTTGGCTCATTGCAACCTCCGCCTCCTGGGTTCAAATGATTTTCCTGCCTCAGCCTCCCTAGTAGCTGGGATTACAGGTGCACACCACCATGCCTGGCTACTTTTTGTTTTTTTTAGTATAGATGCGGTTTCCCCATGTTGGCTGGGCTGCTCTCAAACTCATGACCTCAACTGAGGTGCCCGCCTCGGTCTCCCAAAGTGCCGGGATTACAGGCATGATCCACCTCACCCAACCTCTTTTTAGTTCTTTAAAGGACTTCCACACTTTTCTCCGTAAAGGCTGTACTAATTTACACTCCTACCAACAGGGTATTAGGGTTCTCCTTTCTCTACCACTTTGGCAGGATTTCCTTTGCCTGTCTTGCAGCTAAAAGCCATTTTATTTTATTTCATTTTATTTTGAGATGGAGTTTCGCTCTTGTCACCCAGGCTGGAGTGCAGTGGTGCGATCTCGGCTCACCACAACCTCCACCTCCCAGGTTCAAGCGATTCTCCTGCCTCAGCCTCCCGAGTAGCTGGAATTACAGGCACACGCCACCACGCCCAACTAAATTTTGTATTTTTAGTAGAGACAGTGTTTCTCCATGTGGGTCAGACTGGTCTCAAACTCCCGACCTTATGAGATTCACCCACCTCAGGCTCTCAAAGGTCTAGGATGACAGACGTGAGCCACCACGCCCGGCCTAAAATCCATTTTAATGGGGTGAGATGAAAACTCACTTTGATTTTAATTTGTGTTTCTCTGATGATGAGTGAAACTGAGCACTTTTTAGTATGTGGGGAAATTTCATGTGTTTTGCTCCTTTTTCAATTAAATCATTTGTTTTATTGAGTTGTTTGAGCTTCTTATATTTCTAGTTATTAATCCCATCTCAGATGCATAGTTTGCACATATTTGCTCCCAATCTGTGGGTTGTCTCTTCACTTTGTTGGTTTATTTTTAGCGGTGCAGAAGTTGCTTAGTTTGAGGTAATCCCAATGGTCTATTTTTGCTTCGATTACTTGTGTTTTGAAGGTTTAAAACAAAATGTCTTCCTTCAGACAAATGTCCTGGAGCATTTCCCCAATATTTTCTTCTACGTGTTTCATAGGTTCAGGCCTTAGACTCACATCTTTAATCCATTTTCATTTGAGTTTTGTGTATAGTGACAGGTAGAGGTGCAGTTTCATTCCTCTGCATGTAGATGTCCAGGTTTCCCTGCACTGTTTATTGAAAAGACTGTCCTTTCCTGATTGTGAGTTCTTGGCACCTTTGTCAAAGTCCATTGGATGGGCTGGGCATGGTGGCTGACACCTGCAATTTCAGCACTTTGGGAGCCCAAGGCGGGTGGATCACCTGAGGCCAGGAGTTCAAGATTAGTCTGGCCGACGTGATGAAACATTGTCTCCACTAAAAATATAAAAATTAGCTGAGCATGGTGGTCAGCACCTGTAATACCACTACTCAGGAGTTTGAGGCCAGAGAATTGATTGAACCCAGGAGGCTGTGGTGGCAGTGAACCGAGATTGCACCTCTGCACTCCAGCCTGGGCGACAGAGCGAGACTCCATCTCAAAAGAAAAAAGAAAAAAACATTGGAGGTAAATGCATGGATTATATCTGTGTTCTTCATTCTGCTCCATTGTTCTACGTGCCTTTCTTTATGCCAATGTGATGCTGTTTTGCTTACTACAGCTCTGTAACATATTTTGAGATCAGGTAGTGTGATGCTCCTGTTTTCTCTTTATACCTTGAAGTCTCAAGACAGTGGGCGTCACATACAAAAATTACGGAAAAAAGGATCCCAGGACTCCCAGGGCCCAATATTAGATAACAGAGTGTTGGCCATGAACCAACCTCAAAGATTTCCATTGAGTAGAGGACAGACACCCTCATTTCCTCACCTCTCTCCTGTCTCATGTTCTAGGAAACCCTTCAAATAGTTGGCCTTCACCCACTGAACCAAGCTCCGAAACCGGTGAGTACAGAACCCTCTTATATCCGCTTTTGGAAACCTGGGGAGGTAGAAACCTTCGATGCAGGCATTGACTCAGCATCTCGCAGCTCTGACATTGTACGCCTGTCTTCTACCATCTCCGAACTCCAGATACTCCAACAGCGAAAGGGATCTGGGCCCAACCTAGGGCTCAGTGAAATCTCTTAATCTCTCATTTTATGGAGCTGAGACCTCCTACAAGCTAGAAGAATGATTGCCAATCTGACATCCTTCTCAGGAAAAATGCAATGTTTGTTCTGCCTGCATTCCTAACTGGAGGATAAATTCCTGGGGGCTTGAGAGAGGGAAGGGAAGGGAACATCTGATGAGGGCGAGGTGTTTTAGAGAAGTTCCACTTGCCAAGGAATGAATTACTGTTGGTCATGAAGCAACCCTGGCTGACTCAGCAGAGCAACAGCCTTGCCGTAACAGAGAACGGAGCTCATGCACGCACACTTCGACTCACTGACTCATTCAGCCACGGCCCCATGCTCAGGCTGTGCAGTGCGGAACCTTTTCCTATTGTTGCCATAACAAATTTCCACAAGATTCGTGGGTGAAAACAAAACGGTTTTTTAATTATCTTACAGTGCTGTAGCTCAAAGTAGGAAGTGCATCTTACTGGGCTAAAATCAAGGTGACAGCAAGGCTGCCTTCCCTCTGAGGATTCCAGGCAAGAATCTGCTTCTCACTTATCCCAGCTTCTAAAGGCTCCCAGTTCCTTGGCTCCTGTTCCCCTTCCTCCTTCCTCAAAGCCCACAAAGACTGGTCACATCTCACATGGCATCACTCAGTGCCTTCTTCCTTACCACACCTCTTTCTCTGAATGCTGCTCTCCCTTCTTCCTTATCTTTTGAAAACTTGGGGATTCTATTGGGTTCACCAAGATGAAAATCCCTCATAATCTCCTGGAAATCATCCAGGATACCCTTGTTTTAAGTTCAGCTGATTAGCAACCGCAATTCCATCTACAATCTTCATTCCTCCTTTCCATGTAAAATAACATATTCACAAGCTATGGAGGCTAGGACAGGGACATTTTGGGGTGGGACAGCATTCTCCTGCCTTCCACAAACGGTGAACAAGATGCATTTGGCCTCTGCCCTTGGGACACTGATATTGCAGATGGTTAAATGGGAGGGCAGAAAATGAATGCACAAGTGGATCTATAAATGAATGATCCATTGGGAAGCATCTGTGCATGAAATCTATTTTTTGTTTGTTCTTTTGTTTATTGAGACAGAGTCGCCCTCTGTCTTCCAGGCTACAGTGCAGTGTCACGATCTTGGCTCACTGCAACCTGCGTCTCCTGGATTCAAGTGATTCTCCTGCCTCCGCCTCTCGAGTAGCTGGGATTACAGGCAACTGCCACCGTGCCCGGCTAATTCTTTTTGTATATTTTTTGTAGAAAGGATGTTTCACCACGTTGGCCAAGCTTGTCTGAAACTCCCAACCTCAAGTGATCCGACCGTCTCAGCATGCCAAAGTAATGGGACTACAGGCGTGAGCCACTGTGCCCAGCCAGAATTCAAAATCAATAATAGATAATGCTGAGTGTATGATTTCAGGTGACAAAGAAGGTCTCACTATTCAGATATTTGTGACATTAATGAAAAACACGGAATGAACCCCTGAAAGATTGGCGGAAGGATTTTGCACACACAGCTGTCAGCCGTGAAGGCACAAAGGTGAAAACAATCTGATGTGGAAGGAAGAGGCTCTGCCTCAAATGCTGGGAATGAGGTGGGGAGAATGACAAGACGACTGTAGGGAGACGGAGAGCACACTGGGTACACAGGAAACTAAGGAGCAACAAGGAGTGTGTGTTTGACACTCACAGCCATTGGATTCACCTCGGGGTAACCAGGAATCCCTACATGATTAATATGACGGACATGAAAATAAGGGAGGCTCAGTTGCATAACTGGAATCTAGGAGACCGTGGAAAAGGCAATTGCCGCCCCACTGGTGAAATGTGGTGCTGATTTAGACACTAAATGAATGAAGTAGATGGATATAAGATATGTTTGTGAGGTAGAATCATTGACTGGAAAGGCTTACTGGGTTTGATTTTCCTACTTGTTTAATCCTCGCTTAATTAATTTCTTTCTGAGATTTATTCATCCTACACATAAATCAATACCTGGCAAAGGAGTGACAGATATATGAGTGGTGGTGGAAATGAAGAGACTTATTATAGCATAATATACAAGTCTGTGAACAGTGGCTCACGCCTGTAACCTAGCACTGCAGGAGGCCAAGGTGGGTGGATTCCATGAAGTCAGGAGTTCCAGACCAGCCTGGCCAACGTGGTGAAACCCTATCTCTACTAAAAATACAAAAATTAGCCGAGCACGATGGTGCATCCCTGTAATCCCAGCTCCTATTCTGGAGGATGAAGCAGGAGAACGACTTCAACCCAGTAGGTGGAGGTTGCAGTGAGTGGAGATTGCATCACTGCACTCCAGCCTGGGGGACACAAGGAGACTCTATCTCAAAAAATAAAAATAAGAAATACATAAATATAATAAAACACACACGAATGACAAAGGCACCTGAATTCCAATCATCGTTTTTCTATTTCTCTATAATTACTTCTTTGATCCTTTATCTTATCCATTAGGCAATGAGCTTAAAACCTCTTCCCTATTTGGCTTTCTGTGAGAATGAGATCACATAGAAAATGTGAAAGCCCTCAGAATCCTCCAGCACAGATCGTGGAATAGAGAAAGTGCTCTGTTCATCGCAACAAAAAACTTGCCCACTCACCCAAATCCCCCACCTCACCCCTACTTCCAATCACCTGTGGAGATTCAGATAGGCTATGGGGAGGTAAACATTGATACTCCTTGGAGTGAGTCCAGATCTTGGAATCAGAGATCAGTGCCAGCACTAGCTCCTGCTCCCCTTTCCTACTAATTCACAAGAGGACAGGTGGTATTGAAGCAATAGATGGCCGAGGGGGTGGTCCTTCCCCCAGCCTCTCGGGTAGAACAGCAGCCTAACATGTGTCTCCCGAGATCACAAAGAGTAGCACGTTTCACACGGGCTTCAACACTATTTCCTGGCCATTTGACATAAGAGAATTCTACTTAGCTTTTTTTATCTTGATTTCACTTTTGTTTCCTTTTCTTGGAGAATGCAAGTTGTTTGATTCAAGAATGCTGTGGATGTAGAAATCCTAAAGCACATTCGCTGTGTATCAATCCCAGTGCAGTCTTCCCAGAGAAGACTCTAAATACCTCCTGGACTGCACCTGGGCTTATGCCAATTCCTATCACTCACCGTCACTCCAGGGAGACAGAACACACAGAGAATACATTACACAGGCAGGTTCATTACTAACAGATAAGCAGCGAGTGACAACAGAAACCTACATTTCAATGTGAGCCAGTCCCTCAAGGCTCAGAAAAGCTCCTCGGGACATATGGAGTCACCCCATTTGCAGTGTAGCTGGGGGAAGCCAGAGAGCAGCCCAGCCTGGGTTTTGTACTGTGGAGCCACAGGAAGCACTCAGCTAAAGCACTGCATGACGTCCTCCTCCAGGAAGAACAGGAAGACAGCCCAGGCTGTTCTGAGACGTTCCTCCTGATCTCAGGACGTTGCTGTCTTAGTCCATTTTTGTTGCTCTAAAGGAACACTTGAGCCTGGGTAACTTCTAGAGAAAAGAGATTGGTTTGCCTCACAGTTCTGCAGGCTATACTGGAAGCGTGGCACCAGCATCTATTTCTCGTGACGGCCTCAGGCTGCTCCCACTCTGGCAGAAGGGAAGGAGGGTCTGTCTGTGCAGAGACCACAGAGATCACACGGCAAGAGAGGGAGCAAGGGGGAGGGGGAGCGATGGAGCTTCCAAGCTCTTTTGAACAACCAGCTCTCCAGGAACTAATAGAAGGGGAACTTGCTAACCCCGTCTCCTTGGGACAGCATTGATCTGTTCATGATGGATCCACCTCCATGACCCAAACACCTCTCAAGAGGCCCAACCTCCCACAGTGGGGGTGAAATTTCAATGTGAGGTTTGAAGGGGTCAAACATCTCAACTAAAGTAGTTGTATCCTCAACACGTTCTATGGTTACTATGAGAGCTATAACTGAGAAAGCAGGAGAAAGCTGGGTCTCCCTCCATCTGGGTGCTTGTCCTAAAGGGGTGTTGTATGTGGTTACCTGTCAATCAAGAAATGTGAGACAATTCATAAAGAGGAACTGCTATGATTAGCTTCTTATTGGTGTCTCCTCTTCTTCCAGGTAACCCCAGACACCTGCATGTTCTGATTGGGACCTCAGTGGTCATCATCCTCTTCATCCTCCTCCTCTTCTTTCTCCTTCATCGCTGGTGCTGCAACAAAAAAAGTAAGTCTCACGAAGCAGAGGCCAGAGAGCTCAGGGCCATGTGGGGAAGCAGGATGGGAGCACTCAGGTGTGTGTTCCTCACAGACAGGATGGTCCCTGGCCCAAGGCAGCAGCCACAGAGGGAGGACTTTCTAGAGAGAGCACCAGACTCCCTGTCCCTGCCTTCAGCTCACAGACCATTGCCTGATTCTGAACTGTATCCTCATGTCCCCTGCAGCCACTCACATCCAGGAGAAGGTTCCATGACAGGCAGAAAGTGGGAGACAGAATCAATGGGATGGGAACTCAGAGCTATTCATGGGATGGGTCCTTGAGCTCAGAGAGATAGAATGTCTGAGTCTGCTGTTGGCAACTGAGGGACCTCAGGCTCCTATGGTCTCCCCCTGTATGTTGGTATCTGCTTATGAAATGAGGGCCCAGAAGTGCCCTCTGAGCTGTTTTGTTGACTTCCGTCTTCTACAGATGCTGTTGTAATGGACCAAGAGCCTGCAGGGAACAGAACAGTGAACAGGGAGGTAGGTGCTCCTCGGCCCAGCCTCGTGGCTAGTGTTATTCCCAAAGAGTCCTGGAAAATGTGAGCACCCTCCCTCACTCAGGATTTCCCTCTCTCCAGGACTCTGATGAACAAGACCCTCAGGAGGTGACATATGCACAGTTGAATCACTGCGTTTTCACACAGAGAAAAATCACTCACCCTTCTCAGAGGCCCAAGACACCCCCAACAGATATCATCGTGTACACGGAACTTCCAAATGCTGAGCCCTGATCCAAAGTTGTCTCCTGCCCATGAGCACCACAGTCAGGCCTTGAGGGGATCTTCTAGGGAGACAACAGCCCTGTCTCAAAACTGGGTTGCCAGCTCCAATGTACCAGCAGCTGGAATCTGAAGGCGTGAGTCTGCATCTTAGGGCATCGCTCTTCCTCACACCACAAATCTGAACGTGCCTCTCTCTTGCTTACAAATGTCTAAGGTCCCCACTGCCTGCTGGAGAGAAAACACACTCCTTTGCTTAGCCCACAATTCTCCATTTCACTTGACCCCTGCCCACCTCTCCAACCTAACTGGCTTACTTCCTAGTCTACTTGAGGCTGCAATCACACTGAGGAACTCACAATTCCAAACATACAAGAGGCTCCCTCTTAACACGGCACTTAGACACGTGCTGTTCCACCTTCCCTCATGCTGTTCCACCTCCCCTCAGACTAGCTTTCAGCCTTCTGTCAGCAGTAAAACTTATATATTTTTTAAAATAATTTCAATGTAGTTTTCCCTCCTTCAAATAAACATGTCTGCCCTCATGGTTTAGGTAATGGGACTCTTTTCTTGCCTAAGGCTTCCGGTGTTATCAGTACCATGTCCATATAATCCCATCTGTTCTCCACCGGGTTCTCACCTCTGGACTCTGAGCTTCTGGAAGCAGTGTGGAGCCTCATTTGTCTCTGGGACTCCAATTTCCATCCAAAGATGCAGCACATAGGAGGTTCCAAGGATCGGGAATCACATGAACAAGTGACATTGTTACTCTCTGCAGACCTGGAAAGCTGGCAGAGTCATTCCACAATGAAACATTTGTAGAGTCATAGGCCTTGTTAGTCTCATCTCCATGGGGACACATATCAACACATCATCTTTCATACTATAAATATACGGTCACTCCTCCGTATCTGTGGGGTTTACAGGTCTTTATTGAACAAAGTATAAATCAAAAATATTCAGAGAAAATATCCACAGAGTTCCAAAACTCATAACTATGTTGAATGGACACAAATGAAGCTGTGTGTAGGCTGTATCAGGAATTATAAGTAATCAAGAGATGATTTCATGTATACAGGAGGATGTGCATATGTTATTTGCAAGCGCTGTGCCATTTCATATAAGAGGCTTGAGCATCTACAGATTTTGGTATCTGAGTGGAGATCTCGAAACCAATCACCCACGAATAGTGAAGGATGACCGTATATGACTTTTATTTCTCAAATTTAAATATAAATCAAAAAATGTACAACTAGATAAAAACTAAGAAGTGTTTTTATAGTGTGAGTTAGATTTATTTTTTACTAGGTGTAACCCATTGGTTTAATATTATTTATTGAGAAGACATTCTATGCCACCTTAAACCACACGGCAGCCTTTGTCAACTCTAAAGGGACTGTGTGTACATGGATGTATTTTAGACAGTTTCTGCTAAGGGGCTGTCTGTGTCCACACTCTTGATGATGCTACACTTTATGTAGCCTTATAGAACCCTTTAAATTTAGTAGCCAGAGCCCTCTAATTTGTTATTATAGGCTATTTGCTTTTTTTTTTCTTGAGGCGGAGTCTTGCTCTGTCGCCCAGGCTGGACTGCAGTGACACAATCTCAGCTCACTGCAACCTCCGCCTCCCAGGTTCAAGCGATTCTCGTGCCTCAGCCTCTTGAGTAGCTGGCGTTACAGGTGCCTGCCACCAGGCATGGCTAATTTTTGGATTTTTAGCAGAGACACGGTTTCACTATGTTGGCCAGGCTGCTCTCAATCCCCTCATCTCAGTTGATCCGCCCACCTCGGCTTCCCGACGTGCTGGGGAAACTTGATTTTCTATAGCATTATGTTACTGGATATTTCTGTAAAATTTAAAATGAGGGAGGCAGAGAGACAGAGAGAGATCAAACTCCAGAGTTGGGACTCTGGAATCTTGGGTCATGAGACAAATTTTAGATTAAACTACAAAACTCCAGAATTTACAGGTGTGGTTTTTGCTGATAAAGTACAATTCTAAGATTGTAAATAATTGCATAATCCTTCCCTGGGAATTTAAATCATTTTAACTGGTTCTGCTGTAATACTAGAAATACAAGCATGAAAAATTCTAATGGTTTATTAGTCACAATGACTCTGAAAACCTTAATAATACCTATTAGATATTTTGCATATTACACATGAAGAAGAGTTTGAATCTCAGATAAAAACAATAAAAATACATGAAAAGTCTTTCACGTTAGCACAGATTTTAGGCATCTCGTGTTCAGGAGGTTGGATCTGAGACGTGTTTTGAGTTGGTCATAGTGAAGGACGCTAGGTGTAAATTCTAGTGAGAACAATTTCCAGGAAGCCGTGTTCCGCTCTTGAGCGAGCACCCACTGGGCCTCATGCAAGGTAGAATGAGCCTGCGTACGTCACCCTCCCATGATGTGGTCAACATGTAAACTGCATGGGCAGGGCGCCAAATAACATCCTGTGCGCTGCTGAGCTGAGCTGGGGCGCGGCCGCCTGTCTGCACCGGCAGCACCATGTCGCTCACGGTCGTCAGCGTGGCGTGTGTTGGTGAGTCCTGGAAGGGAATAGAGGAAGGGAGTGTGGGGTTGGAGATCTGGGCCCAGAGGTGGAGATATAGGCCTGGAGGTGGAGTTGTGGGCCTGGAGTGGAGATCTGGGCCTGGAGTGGATATATGGGCCTAGAGATGGAGTGATGGGCCTAGAAGTGGAGATCTGGGCCTGGAGTGCCGATAGGAACCTGGAGGGGAGATAGGAGCCTGGAGTGGAGACATGGGCCTGGAGGTGGAGTTATAGGCCTATAGTAGAGATATGGGCCTGGAGTGGAGATTTGGGCCAGGAGTGGAGATATGGGCCTAGAGGTGGATATCTGGGCCTAGAGTGGAAATATGGGCCTAGGATGGAGATATGGGCCTGGTTGTGGAGATATGGGACTGGAGAGGAGATATGGGCCTAGAGTGGAGATATGGGCTTGGGGTGGAGATCTGGGCCTGGGGTGGAGATATGGGCCTGGAGGTGGAGTTACGGGCCTTCAGTAGAGATATGGGCCTGGGGTGGAGATATGGGCTTGGGGTGGAGATCTGGGCCTGGAGTGGAGATATGGGCCTGGAGGTGGAGTTACTGGCCTTCAGTAGAGATATGGGCCTGGTGTGGAGATATGGGCCTGGATTGGAGATATGGGCCTAGGGTGGAGATCTGAGCCTGGAGTGGAGATATGGGCCTGGATTGGAGATATGGGCTTACAGTGGAGATCTTGGCCTGGATTGGCGATATGGGCCTGGATTGGCGATATGGGCCTATGATGGAAATATCGGCCTGGAGTGGAGATATGGGCCTGGAGTGGAGATACAGGCCTAGGGTGGAAATATTGGCCTGGAGTGGAGATATGGGCTTGTGGTGGGGATATGGGCTTGTGGTGGGGATCTGGGCTTGGAGGCTGGGTCTCTGCACAGCCGACAGCCCTGTTCTTGGGTGCAGGTAGGCACTGAGGGTGAGTTTAACTTCAGTCCAGGAAGGGCCTGCCTACCAAGACTCACAGCCCAGTGAGGGCAGCAAGGGAGTCCTGGTTTGCCTGCAGATGGATGGTCCATCATGATCTTTCTTTCCAGGGTTCTTCTTGCTGCAGGGGGCCTGGCCACATGAGGGTGAGTCCTTCTCCAAACCTTAGGGTGTCATCTCCCCACATAAGAGGATTTTCCTGAAACAGGAGGGAAGTCCTGTCAGGGAGCCTCTCATAAACTAGGAAGAGGGGACCCTGGGGTGCTCGGCCCACAGTTCCGACCTCGCCTCCCTGGCCTTTCATTCCCTTGGCAGAGTCAAGTTCTGTGGGGACCAGGGTTAGACTGGGGTGCTCAAAGCTGGGGTGCGTGGTGGGGAAGTGGTAGGAACAGCAGATCCTCTGAGGACAAAGGTGTTACTCACACTTCAGCGTTTCCATGACGGTAGGGGCTGCAGTGTGGCTGCTGTCACTCCACCAGAAGAGGTGGGAAACCACAGCCATGGCCCTGACATTCCAAATCCTCTGATGGGGGCTCAGTTGCTTATTTTCATTCAGGCATCTGCTGATATTCCATTCTCAAAGACATGCCCTCCACCCCATGTCTACCCTGTGTTGTTTTATGTGAGTAATCTTACAGTATTAAAATCTAGTAGGAGTCTCTTACTCAGCACTTGCTCAAAGTTCTCAGCTGACACTTTTGTTGTAGGGAGACACCTTGTGTTTGCGGGATGGGTCCTTCCTTTAGCCCTGGGCACCAAGTTGTGATAGCAGCCATAGAAACTTGGAAAGCGAGGAGAATCTTCAGAGCACAGGGAGGGAGGGGTGGCTCCACATCCTCCTCTCTAAGGCGGTGCCTCCTTCTCCCCAAGGTGGTCAGGACAAGCCCTTGCTGTCTGCCTGGCCCAGCTCTGTGGTGCCTCCAGGACATGTGATTCTTCGGTGTCATTCTTATCTTGGGTTTAACAACTTCAGTCTGTAAAAGGAAGATGGGGTGCCTGGCACTGAGCTCTACAACAGAATATTCTGGAAGAGCCTTTTCATGGGCCCTGTGACCCCAGCACACACAGGGACGTACAGATGTCGGGGTTCACACCCACACTACCCCAGTGGGTGGTCGGCACCCAGCAACACCCTGGTGATCATGGCCACAGGTCAGAGGGCTCCTGTCTTGGATTCTCCTTTCCCACCTCCTGAATCCCAGAGCTTCTGGTGGGCGTGTCCTTGAGGGTCCCATCACCCAGGCCCTGACTATATTTGGGGTAAAGGGGGATTGAATACAGGGAAATGGGTGCTGTGGTGGGAAGAATAATTGTCCCCAGTGATGACTACATTCTAATCCCTGGAGTCTGTGACTATTTATGTTATAGGGGAAGGAACTGAAGGGGAAGATGGAGCTCAGGTTGTTGATGAGTTGACCTTGAGATGGGGAGACAGCCTGGACTGTCCCGCTGGGCTCAGTGTAATCACAAGGGTCCACATGAAAGGAGGAGGAAGAGGGGAGTGGGGATTAGAGCAGCGCAATGGGAGACTCCACCAGCTTTGAAGGTGGAGGAAGGCCAGGAGCCATGAATGCAGGTGGCCTGTAGAGGTTGGAAAAGTCAAGGAAATGATTCTCCAGAGTCTCCAGAGGGAACGAAGCCCTGCAGATGCCTTGATTTTAGCCCAGGAAAAACAGGGTCCTATTTCTGTCTCCAGTAGTGAAATGGGTCAGTGTGCTCTCTCCTGCTGCCATGCTTCTGATAATTTTCTACAGCAGCAACAGGAAACCAACACTGGAACCCAGGTCAAGGACAAGGTAAGAAACAACACAAGGATAGCCGGGTGTGGTGGCAGGCGCATGTAATCCTAGCGACTTGGGAGGCTGAGGGCAGGAGAATCACTTGAACCCAGGAGACAGAGGTTGCAGTGACCCTAGACCACACCACTTCACTCCAGCTGGGGTGAAGGAGTGAGACTCTGTCTCCATAATTAATTAATTAATTAAAGGAACCAAACAAGGGGAAGGTTGGCTACACCGAGATGAGCAAGTGTGGGATGATGATGCCACCACCAGGCTCCATCCACATAGGGAGGGGTTGATACTCCTCAAACCAGCACCAGGAGCCAGCCTATGGAAGCTGGCACCATGGAGAAGGCACAGGCATGGCAAGAGTGGCTCCCAGTCCCGACCAGGAACAGGGTGTGTGGACACTGGTGCCTGCCTTATTCATCAGTTCATACCTACTGCCAAGGATTCCAATTCATCCAAAAGAGATTGAACCAGGCTGATAAGAGGCTGGATGTGCAGCCTATCCTGGTTCCTCTTTCACCCCCACATAAACAGCAGGAAAGACATTAGTGTGAAATAGATACAACACCCCAAGAGATGAGGCTAAGCCCAGTGGGAAGGGAATCAGAGGCGACTAGAGACAGAGGGACAGAGAAGAGGGAGGGAGACAGATGGAAGGACCTGCACCAGGAGTTATGGGCACAGAAAAGAACATGAAGACACAGAGAGGAAGGAGAGAGACAGACACCAGCAAGGGGAAGCCTCACTCATTCTAGGTGCCATGGATGGGATGATAAAGAGAGACACCTTCTAAACTCACAACCTCTCTTCCTAGGAGTCCACAGAAAACCTTCCCTCCTGGCCCACCCAGGTCCCCTGGTGAAATCAGAAGAGACAGTCATCCTGCAATGTTGGTCAGATGTCAGGTTTGAGCACTTCCTTCTGCACAGAGAAGGGAAGTTTAACGACACTTTGCACCTCACTGGAGAGCACCATGATGGGGTTTCCAAGGCCAACTTCTCCATCGGTCCCATGATGGAAGACCTGGCAGGGACCTACAGATGCTACGGTTCTGTTACTCACTCCCCCATCAGTTGTCAGCTCCCAGTGACCCTCTGGACATCGTCATCACAGGTGAGAGTGTCCGGACATTCTTCTCATTGTCATTGGGATGCAGAGTGAATGATCCACGACTTGGAACCCCCAGGTAGTTGTAAGGAAGATGAGCTTGGTATTCTTATGGAGAGAGACTGACTTGGTGAGGTCTGTACCAACAGAGACAGAGAAACAGGAGACACAAGTACAGACCAGGTGTCATAACAGAGGACAGACACAGGGGCCATACCGGGAGTTAGAAAAGACAGAAGGAGTTAAAGGAGACAGACAGACAGACATGTCCCAGAGAGAGGTGTCCCTCCATGCTGACTTTGCTCAGAGACCTGGCACAGGTTAGAAGTTTCATTTCTGTTTTACCTCCACAAAGTGTTCTCTACCAGGAGAACCCAAGGACACCCATATTTCTGACCTGAGTTGGGCCCTGTGGCCTCAGGCCTTGTGGCACCTACAGATGCCGTGTTTATTCTGACACCTCTGCCTTCCATGTAATGGAGAGTAACCGTCCCAGGATATCATGGCCCCAGAACACCAACTCCTGTATGCTGTGTGAACTTGTGGTCTCCAGACTGGATTCTGAGGCTCACATTCCAAATAACCCCACATATGAAAGGATCACTGAGAGGCACAGAGAGAAATCAGGGACACCAAAAAGCAAAGACATAAACACACAGAGAATGAGCCAGAGGAAGGAGATTGAGAGACTCACAGACACATAAAGAGAGAGAAAAGAGGGCAGAGGAGTGGTGAGAATGATGGAAGGGAGCAGAGAAAAGCACTAAAATTAGACTCCTGAGGGAGAGGCACAAGGACATAGAAAGATGGAGATGTGGGGATGAATTGCAGAGATTCCAAAGAGAACTAGAGAGACCGAGAGGCAGAGCAAGACAGATGATAGATGGATAGATATAGATAGATGATAAATAGGTAGATGATAGATAATAGGTTAAAGATACATAGATGATGATTGATTGATTCATTAATAGATGAGACATAGAGATGATGATGATGAAGACAGATAGATAATACATAGAGATAGAGAGGCAGACAGAAGTCATAGAGAGAGAGATGATACATAGATATAGATAACAGATGATTGATGGATAGATAGACAAGTGATAGATACATAGATGATATATAGATATAGATGACAGCTAGAGAATTTGTAGATAGGCACCGAATAGATAAATAGATAGATCGATAGATAATAGATAGAAATATGCAGAAAGTTATGAACAGGACACAAAGTGAGAAACTTAGAATTTAAAAAAGTAACATCAAGTCAACCAATCCAAGGAGAGTCAGAGAGAATAAAACAATCCAAAAAGGGAAAACATATCTAGAGGTGTGGAAGCGAGGTCAGAGACCTAGAGAGACAGAGAAGGTGGAAGGAGGAAATAGACATGAAGAGAGATGGGGTGGAGGGTGAGAGAGAGAGAGAGAGAGCATTAGGTCATAGAGCAGGGGAGTGAGTTCTCAGCTCAGGTGAAGGGAGCTGTGACAAGGAAGATCCTCCGTAAGGAAAATGCCTCTTCTCCTTCCAGGTCTATATGAGAAACCTTCTCTCTCAGCCCAGCCGGGCCCCACGGTTCTGGCAGGAGAGAGCGTGACCTTGTCCTGCAGCTCCCGGAGCTCCTATGACATGTACCATCTATCCAGGGAGGGGGAGGCCCATGAACGTAGGTTCTCTGCAGGGCCCAAGGTCAACAGAACATTCCAGGCTGACTTTCCTCTGGGCCCTGCCACCCACGGAGGAACCTACAGATGCTTCGGCTCTTTCCGTGACTCTCCCTACGAGTGGTCAAACTCGAGTGACCCACTGCTTGTTTCTGTCACAGGTGAGGAAAGCCCATGGCTGTCCCATGTCCTATGATCCTAGAGCCTTAGCTGAGGAGCTTCCTGCTGAGGATGGAGAGAAGGATGAACAGATGCAGAGAGAAGACGAAGCTTGGGTGTGAGGGAGGGATCAGGGCACAGGATGGCAGACAGGGCACCTCCAAACCCTCCTACATGGCCTGCATGAAGGCCTGCGGCCAGGACTCCAGGCACCCAGGCAGATGGAGAAAGCGGTCAGGAGAGACCCAGAGGAGGGAGACTGGGCTCAGTTTGGGAAGATCAGAGGTTCCCTCAGCCCCTCAACATTACCCATTTCCCAGAAGCCCATCCTGGCCTCCCACCCACACAGGGATGTCATCACCTGCAACCCCTACACCCTTTACTTTTGTTTGAGAAATATTTATTGAGGATAAATATACCTATATAGCTTACCACCTTTAACATTTTTTTTTTGAGGCGGAGTCTAGCTCTGTCCCCTATGCTGGAGTGCATTGGCACAATCTCAGCTCACTGCAACTTCCGCCTCCTGGGTTCAAGCGATTCTCTTGCCTCAGCCACCTGAGTAGCTGGTGCTACAGGCGCGCACCACCATGCCAGGCTACTTTTTGTATTTTTAGTAGAGAGGGGGTTTCACCATGTTGGTCAAGCTGGTCTCGAACTCCTGACCACGTGATCCACCCGCATCAGCCTCCCAAAGTGCTGGGATTACAGGCATGAGCCACCACGCCCAGCCACATTTACCATTTTTAAGTGTAAAGTCTAGTGGTCATAAATACATTAATATATATATATATACACATATTTTTTTTACCCTCCACCCTTTTCTTCCTGGCCTCTGGTAGCCACCATTCTACTCTCTACCTTCATGAGATCCACCTTTTAGCTCCTGTATATGGGTAAGAAATGGGAATCTTTGTAATGACCTCCAGTTCCATCCATGTGGCTGCAAATATCAGGATGTTTTTCTTTCTATGGAAGAGTAGTCTCCACTATGCAAATGTACCACATTCTCTCTATCCATTCACCCACTGATGGGCAGGTAGGTTGACTCCTCATCTTGGCTACTGTGAACAGTGCTGCACCAATCATACGAGTGCAGATATCACTTCGATATATTGATTTACTTTCCTTTGGATATAAACCCAGTAGTGAAATTGCTGGATACTATGAAAGTTCTCTTTTTAGTTTTTCGTTTGTTGTTTTGTTTTTGTTTTTGAGACAGTTTCCCTCTGTGCCCAGGCTGGAGTACAAGTGATGTCATCTTGGCTCATTGCAACCTCTGCCTCCTGGGTTCAAATGATTTTCCTGCCTCAGCCTCCCTAGTATCAGGGATTATAGGCGCACGCCACCATGCCTGGCTACTTTTTGTTTTTTTTAGTATAGATGCGGTTTCCCCATGTTGGCTGGGCTGCTCTCAAACTCATGACCTCAACTGAGGTGCCCGCCTCGGTCTCCCAAAGTGCCGGGATTACAGGCATGATCCACCTCACCCAACCTCTTTTTAGTTCTTTAAAGGACTTCCACACTTTTCTCCGTAATGGCTGTACTAATTTACACTCCTACCAACAGGATACCAGGATTCTCCTTTCTCTAACACCTTGCCAGCATTTCTTTTGCCTGTCTTGCAGCTAAAAGCCATTTTATTTTATTTCATTTTATTTTGAGATGGAGTTTCGCTCTTGTCACCCAGGCTGAGTGCAGTGGTGCGATCTCGGCTCACCACAACCTCCACCTCCCAGGTTCAAGCGATTCTCCTGCCTCAGCCTCCCGAGTAGCTGGAATTACAGGCACACGCCACCACGCCCGACTAATTTTTGTATTTTTAGTAGAGACAGTGTTTCTCCATGTGGGTCAGACTGGTCTCAAACTCCCGACCTTATGAGATTCACCCACCTCAGGCTCTCAAAGTTCTAGGATGACAGACGTGAGCCACCACGCCCGGCCTAAAAGCCATTTTAATGGGGTGAGATGAAAACTCACTTTGATTTTAATTTGTGTTTCTCTGATGATGAGTGATACTGAGCACTTTTTCGTATGTGGGGAAATTTCATGTCTTTTGCTCCTGTTTCAATTAAATCATTTGTTTTATTGAGTTGTTTGAGCTTCTTATATTTCTAGTTATTAATCCCATCTCAGATGCATAGTTTGCACATATTTGCTCCCAATCTGTGGGTTGTCTCTTCACTTTGTTGGTTTATTTTTAGCGGTGCAGAAGTTGCTTAGTTTGAGGTAATCCCAATGGTCTATTTTTGCTTCGATTACTTGTGTTTTGAAGGTTTAAAACAAAATGTCTTCCTTCAGACAAACGTCCTGGAGCATTTCCCCAATATTTTCTTCTACGTGTTTCATAGGTTCAGGCCTTAGACTCACATCTTTAATCCATTTTCATTTGATTTTTGTGTATAGTGACAGGCAGAGGTGCAGTTTCATTCCTCTGCATATAGATGTCCAGGTTTCCCTGCACTGTTTATTGAAAAGACTGTCCTTTCCTGATTGTGAGTTCTTGGCACCTTTGTCAAAGTCCATTGGATGGGCTGGGCATGGTGGCTGACACCTGCAATTTCAGCACTTTGGGAGCCCGAGGTGGGTGGATCACCTGAGGCCAAGAGTTCAAGATTAGTCTGGCCAACGTGATGAAACATCGTCTCCACTAAAAATATAAAAATTAACTGAGCATGGTGGTCAGCACCTGTAATACCACTACTCAGGAGTTTGAGGCAAGAGAAGTGATTGAACCCAGGAGGCTGTGGTGGCAGTGAACCGAGATTGCACCTCTGCACTCCAGCCTGGGTGACAGAGCAAGACTCCATCTCAAAAGAAAAACAAAAAATACATTGGAGGTAAATGCATGGATTATATCTGTGTTATTCATTCTGCTCCGTTGTTCTATGTGCCTTTCTTCATGCCAACGTCATGCTGTCTTGCTTACTACAGCTCTGTAACATATTTTGAGATCAGGTAGTGTGATGCTCCTGTTTTCTCTTTATACCTTGAAGTCTCAAGACAGTAGCCGTCACATACAAAAATTACGGAAAAAAGGATCCCAGGACTCCCAGGGCCCAATATTAGATAACAGAGTGTTGGCCATGAACCAACCTCAAAGATTTCCACTGAGTAGAGGACAGACACCCTCATTTCCTCACCTCTCTCCTGTCTCGTGTTCTAGGAAACCCTTCAAATAGTTGGCCTTCACCCACTGAACCAAGCTCCAAAACCGGTGAGTACAGAACCCTCTTATATCCGCTTTTGGAAACCTGGGGAGGTGGAAACCTTGGATTCAGGCGTTGACTCAGCATCTCACAGCTCTGACATTGTACGCCTGTCTTCTACCATCTCCGAACTCCAGATACTCCAACAGCGAAAGGGATCTGGACCCAAAACAGGGCTCTGTGAAATCTCTTAATCTCTCATTTTATGGAGCTGAGATCTCCTACAAGCTAGAAAAATGATTGGCAATCTGACATCCTTCTCAGGAAAAATGCAATGTTTGTTCTGCCTGCATTCCTAACTGGAGGATAAATTCCTGGGGGCTTGAGAGAGGGAAGGGTAGGGAACATTTGATGAGGGCGAGGTGTTTTAGAGAAGTTCCACTTGCCCAGGAATGAATTACTGTTGGTCATGAAGCAACCCTGGCTGACTCAGCAGAGCAAGAGCTTTGCCTTAACAGAGAACGGAGCTCATGCACGTACACTTCGACTCACTGACTCATTCAGCCACGGCCCCATGCTCAGGCCGTGGAAAAGGCAATTCCCAGCACTGCAGGAGGCCAAGGCGGGTGGATCACTTGAAGTCAGGAGTTCCAGACCAGCCTGGCCAAAATGGTGAAACCCTGTCTCTATGAAAAATACAAAAATTAGCCGAGCATGGTGGTGCATCCCTGTAATCCCAGCTCCTACTCTTGAGGATGAAGCAGGAGAACAACTTCAACCCAGGAGGTGGAGGTTGCAGTGAGTGGAGATTGCATCACTGCACTCCAGCCTGGGTGACACAAGGAGACTCCGTCTCAAAAAATAAAAATAAGAAATGCATAAATATAATAAAACACACACGAATGACAAAGGCACCTGAATTCCAATCATCATTTTTGTATTTCTCTATAATTACTTCTTTGATCCTTTGTCTTATCCATTAGGCAATGAGCCTAAAACCTCTTCCCTATTTGGCTTTCTGTGAGCATGAGACCATATAGAAAATGTGAAAGCCCGCTGAATCCTCCAGCACAGATCGTGGAATAGAGAAAGTGCTCTGTTCATCACAAAAAAAACTTGCCCTCTCACTCAAATCCCCCACTTCACCCCTACTTCCAATCACCTGTGGAGATTCAGATAGACCATGGGGAGGTAAACATTAATACTCCTTGGAGTGAGTCCAGATCTTGGAATGAGAGATCAGCACCAGCACTAGCTCCTGCTCCCCTTTCCTACTAATTCACAGGAGGACAGGTGGTATTGAAGCAATAGATGGTGGAGGGGGTGGTCCTTCCCCCAGCCTCTCAGGTAGAACAGCAGCCTAACATGTGTCTCCCGAGATCACAAAGAGTAGGACGTTTCACAGGGGCTTCAACACGATTTCCTGGCTGTTGGACATAAGATAACTCTATTTCGCTTTTTTATCTTGATTTCACTTTTGTTTCCTTTCCTTGGAGAACGCAAGTTGTTTGACTCAAGAATGCTGTGGATGTAGAAATCCTAAAGCACATTCGCTGTGTGTCAATCCCAGTGCAGTCTTCCCAGAAAAGACCCTAAACACCTCCTAGACTGCACCTGGGCCTATGCCAATTCCTATCACTCACCGTCACTCCAGGGAGACAGAACACACAGAGAATACGTTACATAGGCAGGTTCATTACTAACAGATAAGCAGCGAGTGAAAACAGAAGCCTACATTTCAATGTGAGCCAGTCCCTCAAGGCTCAGAAAAGCTGCTCGGGACATATGGAGTCACCCCATTTGCAGTGTAGCTGGGGGAAGCCAGAAAGCAGCCCAGCCTGGGTTTTGTACCCTGGAGCCACAGGAAGCACTCAGCTAAAGCACTGCATGACGTCCTCCTCCAGGAAGAACAGGAAGACAGCCCAGGCTGCTCTGGGACGTTCCTCCTGATCTCAGGACGTTGCTGTCTTAGTCCATTTTTGTTGCTCTAAAGGAACACTTGAGCCTGGGCAACTTCTAAAGAAAAGAGATTGGTTTGCCTCACCGTTCTGCAGGCTGTACTGGAAGCATGGCACCAGCATCTATTTCTCGTGATGGCCTCAGGCTGCTCCCACTCTGGCAGAAGGGAAGGAGGGTCTGTCTGTGCAGAGACCACAGAGATCACACGGCAAGAGAGGGAGCAAGGGGGAGGGGGAGCGATGGAGCTTCCAAGTTCTTTTGAACAACCAGCTCTCTGGGAACTAATAGAGGGGGAACTAGCTAACCCCGTCTCCTTGGGACAGCATTGATCTGTTCATGATGGATCCACCTCCATTACCCAAACACCTCTCAAGAGGCCCAACCTCCCACAATGGGGGTGAAATTTCAATGTGAGGTTTGAAGGGGTCAAACATCTCAACTAAAGTAGTTGTATCCTCAGCACATTCTATGGTTACTTTGAGAGCTATAACTGAGAAAGCAGGAGAAAGCTGGGTCTCCCGCCATCTGGGTGCTTGTCCTAAAGAGGTGTTTTACGTGGTTACCTGTCAATCAAGAAATGCGAGACAATTCATAAAGAGGAACTGCTATGATTAGCTTCTTATTGGTGTCTCATCTTCTTCCAGGTAGCCCAAGACACCTGCACGTTCTGATTGGGACCTCAGTGGTCATCATCCTCTTCATCCTCCTCCTCTTCTTTCTCCTTCATCGCTGGTGCTCCAACAAGAAAAGTAAGTCTCACGAAGGAGAGGCCAGAGAGCTCAGGGCCATGTGGGGAAGCAGGATGGGAGCACTCAGGTGTGTGTTCCTCACAGGTAGGATGGTCCCTGGCCCAAGGCAGCAGCCACAGAGGCAGGACTTTCTAGAGAGGGCACCAGACTCCCTGTCCCTGCTTTCAGCTCACAGACCGTTGCCTGATTCTGAACTGTATCCTCATGTCCCCTGCAGCCACTCACATCCAGGAGAAGGTTCCATGACAGGCAGAAAGTGGGAGACAGAATCAATGGGATGGGAACTCAGAGCTATTCATGGGATGGGTCCTTGAGCTCAGAGAGATAGAATGTCTGAGTCTGCTGTTGGCAACTGAGGGACCTCAGGCACCTATGGCCTCCCCCTGTTTGTTGGTATCTGCTTATGAAATGAGGACCCAGAAGTGCCCTCCGAGCTCTTTTGTTGACTTCCGTCTCCTACACATGCTGCTGTAATGGACCAAGAGCCTGCAGGGAACAGAACAGCGAATAGCGAGGTAGGTGCTCCTCGGCCCAGCCTCGTGGCTAGTGTTATTCCCAAACAGTCCTGGAAAACGTGAGCACCCTCCCTCACTCAGGATTTCCCTCTCTCCAGGACTCTGATGAACAAGACCCTCAGGAGGTGACATACGTACAGTTGGATCACTGCGTTTTCACACAGAGAAAAATCACTCGCCCTTCTCAGAGGCCCAAGACACCCCCAACAGATACCAGAGTGTACACGGAACTTCCAAATGCTGAGTCCAGATCCAAAGTTGTCTCCTGCCCATGAGCACCACAGTCAGGCCTTGAGGGGATCTTCTAGGGAGACAACAGCCCTGTCTCAAAACCGGGTTGCCAGCTCCCATGTACCAGCAGCTGGAATCTGAAGGCGTGAGTCTGCATCTTAGGGCATCGCTCTTCCTCACACCACAAATCTGAATGTGCCTCTCTCTTGCTTACAAATGTCTAAGGTCCCCACTGCCTGCTGGAGAGAAAACACACTCCTTTGCTTAGCCCACAATTCTCCATTTCACTTGACCCCTGCCCACCTCTCCAACCTTACTGGCTTACTTCCTAGTCTACTTGAGGCTGCAATCACACTGAGGAACTCACAGTTCCAAACATACAAGAGGCTCCCTCTTAACACGGCACTTAGACACGTCCTGTTCCACCTTCCCTCATGCTGTTCCACCTCCCCTCAGAGTATCTTTCAGCCTTCTGTCAGCAGTAAAACTTATATATTTTTTAAAATAATTTCAATGTAGTTTTCCCTCCTTCAAATAAACATGTCTGCCCTCATGGTTTCGGTAATGGGACTCTTTTCTTGCCTAAGGCTTCCGGTGTTATCATTACCATGTCCACATAACCCCATCTGTTCTCCACTGGGTTCTCACCCCCGGACTCTGAGTTTGTGGAAGCAGGGTGGAGCCTCATTTGTCTCTGGGACTCCTATTTCCATCCAAAGATGTAGCACATAGGAGGTTCCAAGGATCGTGAATCACATGAACAAGTGATATTCTTACTCTCTGCAGACCTGGAAATCTGGCAGAGTCATTCCAAGATGAAACATTTGTAGAATCATAGGCCTTGTTAGTCTCATCTACACAGGGACACATATCAACACATCATCTTTCACACTATAAATATACAGTCACTCCTCCATATCTGTGGGGTTTACAGTTCTTTATTGAACCGAGTATAAATCAAAAATATTCAGAGAAAGTATCCACAGAGTTACAAAAAGCAGAACTGTGTTGAATGGACACAAATGAAGCTGTGTGTAGGCTGCATCAGGAATTATAAGTAATCTAGAGATGATTTCATGTATACAGGAGGATGTGCATAGGTTATTTGCAAACTCTGTGCCATTTCATATAAGAGGCTTGAGCATCTACAGATTTTGGTATCTGAGTGGAGATCTCGAAACCAATCACCCAGGAATAGTGAAGGATGACCGTATATGACTTTTATTTCTCAAATTTAAATATAAATCATAAAAAATGTACAACTAGATAAAAACTAAGAAGTGTTTTTATAGTGTGAGTTAGATTTATTTTTTCCTAGGTATAACCCATTGGTTTAATATTATTTATTGAGAAGACATTCTATGCCACCTTAAACCACACGGCAGCCTTTGTCAACTCTAAAGGGACTGTGTGTACACGGATGTACTTTAGACACTGTTTCTGCTAAGGGGCTCTCTGTGTCCACACTCTTGATGATGCTGCACTTTATGTAGCCTTATAGAACCCTTTAAATTTAGTAGCCAGAGCTCTCTAATTTGTTATTATAGGCTATTTGCTTTTTTTTCTTGAGGCGGAGTCTTGCTCTGTCGCCCAGGCTGGACTGCAGTGACACAATCTCAGCTCACTGCAACTTCTGCCTCCCAGGTTCAAGCGATTCTCATGCCTCAGCCTCTTGAGTAGCTGGCGTTACAGGTGCCTGCCACCAGGCACGGCTAATTTTTGGATTTTTAGCAGAGACACGGTTTCACTATATTGGCCAGGCTGCTCTCAAACTCCTTATCTCAGTTGATCCGCCCACCTCGGCTTCCCAACGTGCTGGGGAAACTTGATTTTCTATAGCATTATGTTACTGGATATTTCTGTAAAATTTAAAATGAGGGAGGGAGAGAGACAGACGGAAAACAAACTCCAGAGTTGGGACTCTGGAATCTTGGGTCATGAGACAAATTTTAGATTAAACTACAAAACTCCAGAATTTACAGGTGGGGTTTTTACTGATAAAGTACAATTCTAAGATTGTAAATAATTGCATAATCCTTCCCTGGGAATTTAAATCATTTTAACTGGTTCTGCTGTAATACTAGAAATACAAGCATGAAAAATTCTAATGGTTTATTAGTGACAATGACTCTGAAAACATTAATAATACCTATTAGATATTTTGCATATTACACAGGAAGAAGAGTTTGAATCTCAGATAAAAACAATAGAAATACATGAAAAGTCTTTCATGTTAGCACAGATTTTAGGCATCTCGTGTTCGGGAGGTTGGATCTCAGACGTGTTTTGAGTTGGTCATAGTGAAGGACACTAGGTGTCAAATTCTAGCGAGAACAATTTCCAGGAAGCCGTGTTCCGCTCTTGAGCGAGCACCCACTGGGCCTCATGCAAGGTAGAAAGAGCCTGCGTACGTCACCCTCCCATGATGTGGTCAACATGTAAACTGCATGGGCAGGGCGCCAAATAACATCCTGTGCGCTGCTGAGCTGAGCTCGGTCGCGGCTGCCTGTCTGCTCCGGCAGCACCATGTCGCTCTTGGTCGTCAGCATGGCGTGTGTTGGTGAGTCCTGGAAAGCAATAGAGGGAGGGAGTGAGGGGATGGAGATCTGGGCCCAGAGGTGGAGATATAGGCCTGGAGGTGGAGTTATGGGCCTGGAGTGGAGATCTGGGCCTGGAGTGGATATATGGGCCTAGAGATGGAGTGATGGGCCTAGAAGTGGAGATCTGGGCCCAGAGGTCGAGATATAGGCCTGGAGGTGGAGTGATGGGACTGTAGTGGAGATCTGGGCCTGGAGTGGAGATAGGAACCTGGAGGGGAGATAGGAACCTGGAGGGGAGATATGGGCCTGGAGGTGGAGATATGGGCCTGGAGTGGAGTCATGGGCCTGGAGGTGGAGTTATGGGCCTGCAGTAGAGATATGGGCCTGAAGTGGAGACATGGGCCTGGAGTGGAGATATGGGCCAGGAGTGGAGATATGGGCCTAGAGGTCGATATCTGGGCCTGGAGTGGAGATATGGGCCAGGAGTGGAGATATGGGCCTAGAGGTCGATATCTGGGCCTGGAGAGGAGATATGTGCCTAGGATGGAGATACGGGCCTGGGTGTGGAGATATGGGACTGGAGAGGATATATGGGCCTGGAGTGGAGATATGGGACTGGAGAGGAGATATGGACCTGGAGTGGAGATAAGGGCCTGGATTGGAGATATGGGCCCAGGGTGGAGATCTGAGCCTGGATTGGAGATATGGGCCTGGATTGGCGATATGGGCTTAGGGTGGAAATATCGGCCTGGAGTGGAGATATGGGCCTGGAGTGGAGATATGGGCTTGAGGTGGGGATATGGACCTGGAGGCTGGGTCTCTGCACAGCCGACAGCCCTGTTCTTGGGTGCAGGTAGGCACTGAGGGTGAGTTTACCTTCAGCCCAGGAAGGGCCTGGCTACCAAGACTCACAGCCCAGTGGGGGCAGCAAGGGTGCCCTGGTTTGCCTGCAGATGGGTCATCCATCATGATCTTTCTTTCCAGGGTTCTTCTTGCTGCAGGGGGCCTGGCCACATGAGGGTGAGTCCTTCTCCAAACCTTCGGGTGTCATCTCCCCACATAAGAGGATTTTCCTGAAATGGGAGGGAAGTCCTGTCAGGGAGTCTCTCATAAACTAGGAAGAAGGGACCCTGGGGTGCTGGGCCCACATTTCTGACCTTGCCTCCCTGGCCTTTCATTCCCTTGGCAGAGTCAAGTTCTGTGGGGACCAGGGTTAGACTACGGTGCTCAAAGCTGGGGTGTGTGGTGGGGAAGTGGTAGGAACAGCAGATCCTCTGAGGACAAAGGTGTTACTCACACACTTCAGCGTTTCCATGACGGTAGGGGCTGCAGTGTGGCTGCTGTCATTCTACCAGAAGAGGTGGGAAAACCACAGCCATGGCCCTGACATTCCAATCCTCTGATGGGGACTCAGTTGTTTATTTTCGTTCAGGCATCGGCTGATATTCCATTCTCAAAGGACATGCCCTCCACCCCATGTCTACCCTGTGTTGTTTTATGTGAGTAATCTTACAGTATTAAAATCTAGTAGGAGTCTCTTACTCAGCACTTGCTCAAAGTTCTCAGCTGACACTTTTGTTGTAGGGAGACACCTTGTGTTTGCGGGATGGGTCCTTCCTTTAGCCCTGGGCACCAAGGTGTGATAGCAGCCATAGAAACTTGGAAAGCGAGGAGAATCTTCAGAGCACAGGGAGGGAGGGGCGGCTCCACATCCTCCTCTCTAAGGCGGTGCCTCCTTCTCCCCACGGTGGTCAGGACAAGCCCTTGCTGTCTGCCTGGCCAAGCCCTGTGGTGCCTCCAGGACATGTGATTCTTCAGTGTCATTCTTATCTTGGGTTTAACAACTTCAGTCTGTAAAAGGAAGATGGGGTGCCTGTCCCTGAGCTCTACAACATAATATTCTGGAACAGCCTTTTCATGGGCCCTGTGACCCCAGCACACGCAGGGACCTATACATGTCGGGGTTCACAACCACACTACCCCAGTGGGTGGTCGGCACCCAGCAACCCCCTGGAGATCACGGTCACAGGTCAGAGGGCTCCTGTCTGGGATTCTCCTTGTCCCACCTCCTGAATCCCAGAGCTCCTGGTGGGCGTGTCCTTGCGGGTCCCATCATGCAAGTCCTGACTGTATTTGGGGTAAAGGGGGATTGAATACAGGGAAATGGGTGCTGTGGTGGGAAGAATAATTGTCCCCAGTGATGACTACATTCTAATCCCTGGAGTCTGTGACTATTTATGATATAGGGGAAGGGACTGAAGGAGAAGATGGAGCTCAGGTTGTTGATGAGTTGACCTTGAGATGGGGAGACAGCCTGGACTGTCCTGATGGGCTCAGTGTAGTCACAGGGGTCCACATGAAAGGAGGAGGAAGAGGGGAGTGGGGATTACAGCAGCATAATGGGAGTCTCCATCAGCTTTGAAGGTGGAGGAAGTCCAGGAGCCATGAATGCAGGTGGCCTATAGAGGCTGGAAAAGTCAAGGAACTGATTCTCCTGAGTCTCCAGAGGGAACGAAGCCCTGCAGGTGCCTTGATTTTACCCACGACAAACAGGGTCCGATTTCTGTCTCCAGAATTGGAAGGGGTTAGTGTGCTCTCTCCTGGTGCCATGCTTCTGATAATTTTCTACAGCAGCAACAGGAAACCAACACTGGAACCCAGGTCAAGGACAAGTTAAGAAACAACACAAGGATAGCCAGGCATGGTGGCAGGTGCATGTAATCCTAGCGACTTGGGAGGCTGAGGGCAGGAGAATCACTTGAACCCAGGAGACAGAGGTTGCAGTGAGCCTAGACCACACCACTTCACTCCAGCCTGGGCAAAGGAGTGAGACTCTGTCGCCAAAATTAATTAATTAATTAAAGAAACCAAACAAGGAGAAGGTTGGCTACACTGAGATCAGCAAGGCTCGGATGATGATGCCACCACCAGGCTCCATCCACATAGGGAGCGGTTGATACTCCTCCAACCAGCACCAGGAGCCAGCCTATGGAAGCTGGCACTGGCATGGCAAGAGTGGCTCCCAGTCCCTACCAGGAACAGGGTGTGTGGCCACTGGTGCCTGCCTTACTGATCAGTTCATACCTCCTGCCAAGGATTCCAATTCGTCCAAAAGAGATTGAACCAGGCTGCTAAGAGCCTGGATGTGCAGCCTATCCTGGTTCCTCTTCCACCCCCACATAGACAGCAGGAAAGACATTAGTTCGAAATAGATACAACAGCCCAAGAGATGAGGCTGAGCCCAGCGGCAAGGGAATCAGAGGCTACTAGAGACAGAGGGACAGAGAAGAGTGAGGGAGACAGATGGAAGGACCTGCACCAGGAGTTATGGGCACAGAAAAGAACATGAAGACACAGAGAGGAAGGAGAGAGATAAGACACCAGGAAGGGGAAGCCTGACTCAATCCAGGTGCCATGGATGGGATGATAAAGAGAGACACCTTCTAAACTCACAACCTCTCTTCCTAGGAGTCCACAGAAAACCTTCCCTCCTGGCCCACCCAGGTCGCCTGGTGAAATCAGAAGAGACAGTCATCCTGCAATGTTGGTCAGATGTCATGTTTGAACACTTCCTTCTGCACAGAGAGGGGATGTTTAACGACACTTTGCGCCTCATTGGAGAACACCATGATGGGGTCTCCAAGGCCAACTTCTCCATCAGTCGCATGACGCAAGACCTGGCAGGGACCTACAGATGCTACGGTTCTGTTACTCACTCCCCCTATCAGGTGTCAGCTCCCAGTGACCCTCTGGACATCGTGATCATAGGTGAGAGTGTCCAGACTTTCTTCTCATTGTCATTGGGATGCAGAGTGAATGATCCAGGAATTGGAGACCCAGGTGGCTGTAAGGAAGATGAGCTTGGTATTCTTATGGAGAGAGACTGACTTGGTGAGGTCTGTGCCAACAGAGACAGAGAAACAGGAGACACAAGTAGAGACCAGGTGTCATAACAGAGAACAGACACAGGGGCCATACCGGGAGTTAGAAAAGACAGAAAGAGTTAAAGGAGACACACAGACAGACATGTCCCAGAGAGAGGTGTCCCTCCATGCTGACTTTGCTCAGAGACCTGGCACAGGTTAGAAGTTTCATTTCTGTTTTACCTCCACAAAGTGTTCTCTACCAGGAGAACCCAAGGACACCCATATTTCTGACCTGAGTTGGGCCCTGTGGCCTCAGGCCTTGTGGCACCTACAGATGCCATGTTTATTCTGACACCTCTGCCTTCCATGTAATGGAGAGTAATCGTCCCAGGATATCATGGCCCCACAACACCAACCCCTGTATGCTGTGTGAACTTGTAGTCTCCAGACTGGATTCTGAGGCTCATATTCCAAATAAGCCCACTTATGAGAGGATCAGTGAGAGGCACAGAGAGAAATCAGGGACACCAAAAAGCAAAGACATAAACACACAGAGAATGAGCCAGAGGAAGGAGATTGAGAGACTCACAGACACATAAAGAGAGAGAAAAGAGGGCAGAGAAGTGAGAATGATGGAAGGGAGCAGAGAAAAGCACTAAAATTAGACTCCTGAGGGAGAGGCACAAGGACATTGAAAGATGGAGATGTGGGGATGAATTGCAGAGATTCCAAAGAGAACTAGAGAGACCGAGAGGCAGAGCAAGACAGATGATAGATGGATAGATATAGATAGATGATAAATAGGTAGATGATAGATAATAGGTTATAGATACATAGATGATGATTGATTGATTCATTAATAGATGAGACATAGAGATGATGATGATGAAGACAGATAGATAGATAATACATAGAGATACAGAGGCAGACATAGAGAAATCATAGAGAGAGAGAGATGATACATAGATATAGATAATAGATGATTGATGGATAGATAGACAATTGATGGATAAATAGATGATATATAGATATAGATGACAGGTAGAGAATTTGTAGATAGGCACCGAATAGATAAATAGATAGATCGATAGATAATAGATAGAAATATGCAGAAAGTTATGAACAGGACACAAAGTGAGAAACTCAGAATTAAAAAAAGTAACATCAAGTCAACCAATCCAAGGAGAGTCAGAGAGAATAAAACAATCCAAAAAGAGAAAACATATCTAGAGGTGGGGAAGTGAGGTCAGAGACCTAGAGAGACAGAGAAGGTGGAAGGAGGAAATAGACATGAAGAGCGATGGGGTAGAGGGTGAGAGAGAGAGAGAGAGAGAGCATTAGGTCATAGAACAGGGGAGTGAGTTCTCAGCTCAGGTGAAGGGAGCTGTGACAAAGAAGATCCTCCCTGAGGAAACTGCCTCTTCTCCTTCCAGGTCTATATGAGAAACCTTCTCTCTCAGCCCAGCTGGGCCCCACGGTTCTGGCAGGAGAGAATGTGACCTTGTCCTGCAGCTCCCGGAGCTCCTATGACATGTACCATCTATCCAGGGAAGGGGAGGCCCATGAACGTAGGCTCCCTGCAGGGCCCAAGGTCAACGGAACATTCCAGGCTGACTTTCCTCTGGGCCCTGCCACCCACGGAGGGACCTACAGATGCTTCGGCTCTTTCCATGACTCTCCATACGAGTGGTCAAAGTCAAGTGACCCACTGCTTGTTTCTGTCACAGGTGAGGAAAGCCCATGGCTGTCCCATGTCCTATGATCCTAGAGCCTTAGCTGAGGAGCTTCCTGCTGAGGATGGAGAGAAGCATGGACAGATGCAGAGAGAAGACGCAGCCTCGGTGTGAGGGAGGGATCAGGGCACAGGATGGCAGACAGGGCACCTCCAAACCCTCCTACATGGCCTGCATGGAGGCCCACGGCCAGGGCTCCAGGCACCCAGGCAGATGGAGAAAGCGGTCAGGAGAGACCCAGAGGAGGGAGACTGGGCTCAGTTTGGGGAGATCAGAGGTTCCCTCAGCCCCTCAACCTTACCCATTTCCCAGAAGCCCATCCTGGCCTCTCACCCACACAGAGATGTCATCACCAGCAACCCCTACACCCTTTACTTTTCTTTGAAGAAATATTTATTGAGGATAAATATACCTATATAGCTTACCACTTTTAACATTTTTTTTTGAGGTGGAGTCTAGCTCTGTCCCCTATGATGGAGTGCAGTGGCACAATCTCAGCTCACTGCAACCTCCGCCTCCTGGGTTCAAGCGATTCTCCTGCCTCAGCCACCTGAGTAGCTAGTGCTACAGGCACGCACCACCACGCCAGGCTACTTTTTGTATTTTTAGTAGAGAGGTGGTTTCACCATGTTGGTCGAGCTGGTCTCGAACTCCTGACCACGTGATCCACCCGCATCAGCCTCCCAAAGTGCTGGGATTACAGGCATGGGCCACCAGGCCCAGCCACATTTACCATTTTTAAGTGTAAAGTCTAGTGGTCATAAATACATTTTTATATATATATATATATACATTTTTTTTACCCTCCACCCTTTTCTTCCTGTCCTCCAGTAGCCACCATTCTACTCTCTACCTTCATGAGATCCACCTTTTAGCTCCTGTATATGGGTGAGAAATGGGAATCTTTTTAATGACCTCCAGTTCCATCCATGTGGCTGCAAATGACAGGATGTTATTCTTTCTATGGATGAGTAGTCTCCACTGTGCGTATGTACTACATTCTCTCTATCCATTCACCCACTGATGGGCAGGTAGGTTGACTCCTCATCTTGGCTACTGTGAACAGTGCTGCACCAATCATACGAGTGCAGATATCACTTCGATATGTTGATTTACTTTCCTTTGGATATAAACCCAGTAGTGAAATTGCTGGATACTATGAAAGTTCTCTTTTTTTTTTTTTTTTCTTTTTTGAGAAAGAGTTTCCCTCCTTAGCCCAAGCTGGAGTCAAAGTGGTGCAACCTTGGCTCATTGCAACCTCCGCCTCCTGGGTTCAAATGATTTTCCTGCCTCAGCCTCCCTAGTAGCTGGGATTACAGGTGCACACCACCATGCCTGGCTACTTTTTGGTTTTTTTAGTATAGATGCGGTTTCCCCATGTTGGCTGGGCTGCTCTCAAACTCATGACCTCAACTGAGGTGCCCGCCTCAGTCTCCCAAAGTGCCGGGATTACAGGCATGATCCACCTCACCCAACCTCTTTTTAGTTCTTTAAAGGACTTCCATACTTTTCTCCGTAATGGCTGTACTAATTTACACTCCTACCAACAGGGTACCAGGGTTCTCCTTTCTCTACCACCTTGCCAGCATTTCTTTTGCCTGTCTTGCAGCTAAAAGCCATTTTATTTTATTTCATTTTATTTTGAGATGGAGTTTTGCTCTTCTCACCCAGGCTGGAGTGCAGTGGCGCTATCTCGGCTCACCACAACCTCCACCTCCCAGGTTCAAGCGATTCTCCTGCCTCAGCCTCCCGAGTAGCTGGAATTACAGGCACACGCCACCACGCCCTACTAATTTTTGTATTTTTAGTAGAGACAGCGTTTCTCTATGTGGGTCAGACTGGTCTCAAACTCCCAACCTTATGAGATTCACCCACCTCAGGTTCTCAAAGTTCTAGGATGACACAAGTGAGCCACCTCACCCGGCCTAAAAGCCATTTTAATGGGGTGAGATGAAAACTCACTTTGATTTTAATTTGCGTTTCTCTGATGATGAGTGATACTGAGCACTTTTTCGTATGTGGGGAAATTTCATGTCTTTTGCTCCTTTTTCAATTAAATCATTTGTTTTATTGAGTTGTTTGAGCTTCTTATATTTCTAGTTATTAATCCCATCTCAGATGCATAGTTTGCACATATTTGCTCCCAATCTGTGGGTTGTCTCTTCACTTTGTTGGTTTATTTTTAGCAGTGCTGAAGTTGCTTAGTTTGAGGTAATCCCAATGGTCTGTTTTTGCTTCGATTACTTGTGTTTTGAAGGTTTAAAACAAAATGTCTTCCTTCAGACAAACGTCCTGGAGCATTTCCCCAATATTTTGTTCTACGTGTTTCATAGGTTCAGGCCTTAGACTCACATCTTTAATCCATTTTCATTTGATTTTTGTGTATGGTGACAGGTAGAGTTGCAGTTTCATTCCTCTGCATGTAGATGTCCAGGTTTCCCTGCACTGTTTATTGAAAAGACTGTCCTTTCCTGATTGTGAGTTCTTGGCATCTTTGTCAAAGTCCATTGGATGGGCTGGGCTTGGTGGCTAACACCTGCAATTTCAGCACTTTGGGAGCCCGAGGTGGGTGGATCACCTGAGGCCAGGAGTTCAAGATTAGTCTGGCCAACGTGATGAAACATCGTCTCCACTAAAAATATAAAAATTAGCTGAGCATGGTGGTCAGCACCTGTAATACCACTACTCAGGAATTTGAGGCAAGAGAATGATTGAACCCAGGAGGCTGAGGTTGCAGTGAACCGAGATTGCACCTCTGCACTCCAGCCTGAGTGACAGAGCAAGACTCCATCTCAAAAGAAAAAATAAAAAACCATTGGATGTAAATGCATGGAATATATCTGTGTTATTCATTCTGCTCCGTTGTTCTATGTGCCTTTCTTTATGCCAATGTCATGCTATTTTGCTTACTACAGCTCTGTAACATATTTTGAGATCAGGTAGTGTGATGCTCCTGTTTTCTCTTTATATCTTGAAGTCTCAAGACAGTGGGTGTCATATAAAAAAATTATGGAAAAAAGGATCCCAGGACTCCCAGGGCCCAATATTAGATAAGAGAGTGTTGGCCATGAACCATCCTCAAAGATTTCCACTGAGTGGAGGACAGACACCCTCATTTCCTCACCTCTCTCCTGTCTCATGTTCTAGGAAACCCTTCAAATAGTTGGCCTTCACCCACTGAACCAAGCTCCAAAACCGGTGAGTACAGAACCCTCTTATATCCGCTTTTGGAACCCTGGGGAGGTGGGAACCTTGGATTCAGGCGTTGACTCAGCATCTCACAGCTCTGACATTGTACACTTGTCTTCCACCATCTCCGAACTCCAGATACTCCTACAGCGAAAGGGATCTGGGCCCAACACAGGGCTCAGTGAAATCTCTTCATCTCTCATTTTATGGAGCTGAGACCTCCTACAAGCTAGAAGAATGATTGCCAATCTGACATCCTTCTCAGGAAAAATGCAATGTTTGTTCTACCTGCATTCCTAACTGGAGGATAAATTCCTGGAGACTTGAGAGAGGGAAGGGAAGGGAACATCTGATGAGGGCAAGGTGTTTTAGAGAAGTTCCACTTGCCAAGGAATGAGCTCCTGTAGGTCATGAAGCAACCCTGGCTGACTCCGCAGAGAAAGAGCCTTGCCGTAACAGAGAACAGAGCTCATGCACGCACACTTCGACTCACTGACTCATTCAGCCACGGCCCCATGCTCAGGCTGTGCAGTGTGGAACCTTTTCCTATTGTTGCCATAACAAATTTCCACAAGATTCGTGGGTGAAAACAAAACGGTTTTTTAATTATCTTACAGTGCTGTAGCTCAAAGTAGGAAGTGCATCTTACTGGGCTAAAATCAAGGTGACAGCAAGGCTGCCTTCCCTCTGAGGATTCCAGGCACGAATCTGCTTCTCACTTGTCCCAGCTTCTAAAGGCTCCCAGTTCCTTGGCTCCTGGTCCCCTTCCTCCTTCCTCAAAGCCCACAAAGACTGGTCACATCTCACATGGCATCACTCAGTGCCTTCTTCCTTACCACACCTCTTTCTCTGAGTGCTGCTCTCCCTTCTTCCTCATCTTTTGAAAACTTGGGGATTCTATTGGGTTCACCAAGATGAAAATCCCTCATAATCTCCTGGAAATCATCCAGGATACCCTTGTTTTAAGTTCAGCTGATTAGCAACCATAATTCCATCTGCAATCTTCATTCCTCCTTTCCATGTAAAATAACATATTCACAAGCTGTGGAGGCTAGGACAGGGACATTTTGGGGTGGGACAGCATTCTCCTGCCTTCCACAAACAGTGAACAAGATGCATTTGGCCTCTGCCCTTGGGACACTGATATTGCAGATGGTTAAATGGGAGGGCAGAAAATGAACGCACAAGTGGATCTATAAATGAATGGTCCATTGGGAAGCATCTGTGCATGAAATCTATTTTTTGTTTGTTCTTTTGTTTATTGAGACAGAGTCGCCCTCTGTCTTCCAGGCTACAGTGCAGTGTCACGATCTTGGCTCACTGCAACCTGCGTCTCCTGGATTCAAGTGATTCTCCTGCCTCCGCCTCTCGAGTAGCTGGGATTACAGGCAACTGCCACCGTGCCCGGCTAATTCTTTTTGTATATTTTTTGTAGAGAGGATGTTTCACCACGTTGGCCAAGCTTGTCTGAAACTCCCAACCTCAAGTGATCCGACCGTCTCAGCATGCCAAAGTAATGGGACTACAGGCGTGAGCCACTGTGCCCAGCCAGAATTCAAAATCAATAATAGATAATGCTGAGTGTATGATTTCAGGTGACAAAGAAGGTCTCACTATTCAGATATTTGTGACATTAATGAAAAACACGGAATGAACCCCTGAAAGATTGGCGGAAGGATTTTGCACACACAGCTGTCAGCCATGAAGGCACAAAGGTGAAAACAATCTGATGTGGAAGGAAGAGGCTCTGACTCAAATGCTGGGAATGAGGTGGGGAGAATGACAAGACGACTGTAGAGAGACGGAGAGCACACTGGGTACACAGGAAACTAAGGAGGAACAAGGAGTGTGTGTTTGACACTCACAGCCATTGGATTCACCTCGGGGTAACCAGGAATCCCTACATGATTAATATGACTGACATGAAAATAAGGGAGGCCCAGGTGCATAACTGGAATCTAGGAGACCGTGGAAAAGGCAATTGCCGCCCCACTGGTGAAATGTGGTGCTGATTTAGACACTAAATGAATGAAGTAGATGGATATAAGATATGTTTGTGAGGTAGAATCATTGACTGGAAAGGCTTACTGGGTTTGATTTTCCTACTTGTTTAATCCTCGCTTAATTAATTTCTTTCTGAGATTTATTCATCCTACACATAAATCAATACCTGGCAAAGGAGTGACAGATATATGAGTGGTGGTGGAAATGAAGAGACTTATTATAGCATAATATACAAGTCTGTGAACAGTGGCTCACGCCTGTAACCTAGCACTGCAGGAGGCCAAGGTGGGTGGATTCCATGAAGTCAGGAGTTCCAGACCAGCCTGGCCAACGTGGTGAAACCCTATCTCTACTAAAAATACAAAAATTAGCCGAGCACGATGGTGCATCCCTGTAATCCCAGCTCCTATTCTGGAGGATGAAGCAGGAGAATGACTTCAACCCAGTAGGTGGAGGTTGCAGTGAGTGGAGATTGCATCACTGCACTCCAGCCTGGGGGACACAAGGAGACTCTATCTCAAAAAATAAAAATAAGAAATACATAAATATAATAAAACACACACGAATGACAAAGGCACCTGAATTCCAATCATGATTTTTCTATTTCTCTATAATTACTTCTTTGATCCTTTATCTTATCCATTAGGCAATGAGCCTAAAACCTCTTCCCTATTTGGCTTTCTGTGAGCATGAGATCATATAGAAAATGTGAAAGCCCGCTGAATCCTCCAGCACAGATCCTGGAATAGAGAAAGTGCTCTGGTCATCACAAAAAAAACTTGCCCACTCACCCAAATCCCCCACCTCACCCCTACTTCCAATCACCTGTGGAGATTCAGATAGACCATGGGGAGGTAAACATTAACACTCCTTGGAGTGAGTCCAGATCTTGGAATCAGAGATCAGCGACAGCACTAGCTCCTGCTCCCCTTTCCTACTAATTCACAGGAGGACAGGTGGTTTTGAAGCAATAGATGGCCGAGGGGGTGGTCCTTCCCCCAGCCTCTCGGGTAGAACAGCAGCCTAATATGTGTCTCCCGAGATCACAAAGAGCAGCAGGTTTCACACGGGCTTCAACACTATTTCCTGGCCGTTTGACATAAGAGAATTCTATTTCGCTTTTTTTATCTTGATTTCACTTTTGTTTTCTTTCCTTGGAGAATGCAAGTTGTTTGATTCAAGAATGCTGTGGATGTAGAAACCCTAAAGCACATTCGCTGTGAATCAATCCCAGTCCAGTCTTCCCAGAGAAGACTCTAAACACCTCCTGGACTGCACCTGGGCCTATGCCAATTCCTATCACTCACCGTCACTCCAGGGAGACAGAACACACAGAGAATACGTTACATAGGCAGGTTCATTACTAACAGATAAGCAGCGAGTGACAACAGAAACCTATATTTCAATGTGACCCAGTCCCTCAAGGCTCAGAAAAGCTCCTCGGGACATATGGAGTCACCCCATTTGCAGTGTAGCTGCGGGAAGCCAGAAAGCAGCCCAGCCTGGGTTTTGTACCCTGGAGCCACAGGAAGCACTCAGCTAAAGCACTGCATGACGTCCTCCAGGAAGAACAGGAAGACAGCCCAGGGTGTTCTGAGACGTTCCTCCTGATCTCAGGAAGTTGCTGTCTTAGGCCATTTTTGTTGCTCTAAAGGAACACTTGAGCCTCGGTAACTTCTAAAGAAAAGAGATTGGTTTGCCTCACCGTTCTGCAGGCTGTACTGGAAGCATGGCACCAGCATCTATTTCTCGTGACGGCCTCAGGCTGCTCCCACTCTGGCAGAAGGGAAGGAGGGTCTGTCTGTGCAGAGACCACAGAGATCACACGGCAAGAGAGGGAGCAAGGGGGAGGGGGAGCGATGGAGCTTCCAAGCTCTTTTTAACAACCAGCTCTCCGGGAACTAATAGAGGGGGAACTTGCTAACCCCGTCTCCTTGGGACAGCATTGATGTGTTCATGATGGATCCACCTCCATGACCCAAACACCTCTCAAGAGGCCCAACCTCCCACAGTGGGGGTGAAATTTCAATGTGAGGTTTGAAGGGGTCAAACATCTCAACTAAAGTAGTCGTATCCTCAGCACGTTCTATGGTTACTATGAGAGCTATAACTGAAAAAGCAGGAGAAAGCTGGGTCTCCTGCCATCTGGGTGCTTGTCCTAAAGAGGTGTTTTATGTGGTTACCTGTCAATCAAGAAATGCGAGACAATTCATAAAGAGGAACTGCTAAGATTAGCTTCTTATTGGTGTCTCATCTTCTTCCAGGTAACCCCCGACACCTGCACATTCTGATTGGGACCTCAGTGGTCATCATCCTCTTCATCCTCCTCTTCTTTCTCCTTCATCGCTGGTGCTCCAACAAGAAAAGTAAGTCTCACGAAGCAGAGGCCAGAGAGCTCAGGGCCATGTGGGGAAGCAGGATGGGAGCACTCAGGTGTGTGTTCCTCACAAACAGGATGGTCCCTGGCCCAAGGCAGCAGCCACAGAGGCAGGACTTTCTAGAGAGGGCACCAGACTCCCTGTCCCTGCCTTCAACTCACAGACCGTTGCCTGATTCTGAACTGTATCCTCATGTCCCCTGCAGCCACTCACATCCAGGAGAAGGTTCCATGACAGGCAGAAAGTGGGAGACAGAATCAATGGGATGGGAACTCAGAGCTATTCATGGGATGGGTCCTTGAGCTCAGAGAGATAGAATGTCTGAGTCTGCTGTTGGCAACTGAGGGACCTCAGCCACCTATGGTCTCCCCCTGTATGTTGGTATCTGCTTATGAAATGAGGACCCAGAAGTGCCCTCCGAGCTGTTTTGTTGACTTCCGTCTTCTACAGATGCTGCGGTAATGGACCAAGAGTCTGCAGGAAACAGAACAGCGAATAGCGAGGTAGGTACTCCTCGGCCCGGGCTCGTGGCTACTGTTATTCCCAAAGAGTCCTGGAAAATGTGAGCACCCTCCCTCACTCAGCATTTCCCTCTCTCCAGGACTCTGATGAACAAGACCCTCAGGAGGTGACATACACACAGTTGAATCACTGCGTTTTCACACAGAGAAAAATCACTCGCCCTTCTCAGAGGCCCAAGACACCCCCAACAGATATCATCGTGTACACGGAACTTCCAAATGCTGAGTCCAGATCCAAAGTTGTCTCCTGCCCATGAGCACCACAGTCAGGCCTTGAGGGCGTCTTCTAGGGAGACAACAGCCCTGTCTCAAAACCGGGTTGCCAGCTCCCATGTACCAGCAGCTGGAATCTGAAGGCATGAGTCTGCATCTTAGGGCATCGATCTTCCTCACACCACAAATCTGAATGTGCCTCTCACTTGCTTACAAATGTCTAAGGTCCCCACTGCCTGCTGGAGAAAAAACACACTCCTTTGCTTAGCCCACAGTTCTCCATTTCACTTGACCCCTGCCCACCTCTCCAACCTAACTGGCTTACTTCCTAGTCTACTTGAGGCTGCAATCACACTGAGGAACTCACAATTCCAAACATACAAGAGGCTCCCTCTTAACGCAGCACTTAGACACGTGTTGTTCCACCTTCCCTCATGCTGTTCCACCTCCCCTCAGACTAGCTTTCAGTCTTCTGTCAGCAGTAAAACTTATATATTTTTTAAAATAACTTCAATGTAGTTTTCCATCCTTCAAATAAACATGTCTGCCCCCATGGTTTCGGTAATGGGACTCTTTTCTTGCCTAAGGCTTCCGGTGTTATCAGTACCATGTCCATATAATCCCATCTGTTCCCCACTGAGTTCTCATCCCCGGACTCTGAGTTTCTGGAAGCAGGGTGGAGCCTCATTTGTCTCTGGGACTCCAATTTCCATCCAAAGATGTAGCACATAGGAGGTTCCAAGGATCACGAATCATATGAACAAGTGATACTCTTACTCTCTGCAGACCTGGAAAGCTGGCAGAGTCATTCCACAATGAAACATTTGTAGAATCATAGGCCTTGTTAGTCTCATCTCCATGGGGACACATATCAACACATCATCTTTCATAATATAAATATACGGTCACTCCTCCATATCTGCGGGGTTTACAGGTGTTTATTGAACCAAGTATAAATCAAAAATATTGAGAGAAAGTATCCACAGAGTTTCAAAAAGCATAACTATGTTGAATGGACACAAATGAAGCTGTGTGTAGGCTGTATCAGGAATTATAAGTAATCTAGAGATGATTTCATGTATACAGGAGGATGTGCATAGGTTATTTGCAAACGCTGTGCCATTTCATATAAGAGGCTTGAGCATCTACAGATTTTGGTATCTGAGTGGAGATCTCAAAACCAATCACCCACGAATAGTGAAGGATGACCGTATATGACTTTTATTTCTCAAATTTAAATATAAATCATAAAAAATGTACAACTAGATAAAAACTAAGAAGTGTTTTTATAGTGTGAGTTAGATTTATTTTTTCCTAGGTGTAACCAATTGGTTTAATATTATTTATTGAGAAGACATTCTATGCCACCTTAAACCACACGGCAGCCTTTGTCAACTCTAAAGGGACTGTGTGTACATGGATGTATTTTAGACACTGTTTCTGCTAAGGGGCTCTCTGTGTCCACACTCTTGATGATGCTGCACTTTATGTAGCCTTATAGAACCCTTTAAATTTAGTAGCCAGAGCCCTCTAATTTGTTATTATAGGCTGTTTGCTTTTTTTTTCTTGAGGCGGAGTCTTGCTCTGTCGCCCAGGCTGGACTGCAGTGGCACAATCTCAGCTCACTGCAACCTCCGCCTCCCAGGTTCAAGCGATTCTCATGCCTCAGCCTCTTGAGTAGCTGGCGTTACAGGTGCCTGCCACCAGGCACGGCTAATTTTTGGATTTTTAACAGAGACACGGTTTCACTATATTGGCCAGGCTGCTCTCAAACTCCTTATCTCAGTTGATCCGCCCACCTCGGCTTCCCAACGTGCTGGGGAAAACTTGGTTTTCTATAGCATTATGTTACTGGATATTTCTGTAAAATTTAAAACGAGGGAGGGAGAGAGACAGACAGAGAGCAAACTCCAGAGTTGGGACTCTGGAATCTTGGGTCATGAGACAAATTTTAGATTAAACTACAAAACTCCAGAATTTACAGGTGTGGTTTTTGCTGATAAAGTACAATTCTAAGATTGTAAATAATTGCATAATCCTTCCCTGGGAATTTAAATCATTTTAGCTGGTTCTGCTGTAATACTAGAAATACAAGCATGAAAAATTCTAATGGTTTATTAGTCACAATGACTCCGAAAACATTAATAATACCTATTAGATACTTTGCATATTACACAGGAAGAAGAGTTTGAATCTCAGATAAAAACAAAAAAAATACATGAAAAGTCTTTCATGTTAGCACAGATTTTAGGCATCTCGTGTTCGGATAAAAATACATGAAAAGTCTTTCACGTTAGCACAGATTTTAGGCATCTTGTGTTCGGGAGGTTGGATCTGAGACGTGTTGTGAGTTGGTCATAGTGAAGGACGTGAGGTGCCAATTCTAGTGAGAACAATTTCCAGGAAGCCGTGTTCCGCTCTTGAGCAAGCATCCACTGGGCCTCATGCAAGGTAGAAAGAGCCTGCGTACGTCACCCTCCCATGATGTAGTCAACATGTAAGCTGCATGGGCAGGGCGCCAAATAACATCCTGTGCGCTGCTGAGCTGAGCTGGGGCGCGGCCGCCTGTCTGCACCGGCAGCACCATGTCGCTCATGGTCGTCAGCATGGCGTGTGTTGGTGAGTCCTGGAAAGGAATAGAGGGAGGGAGTGCCACATCCTCCTCTCTAAGGTGGCGCCTCCTTCTCCCCCAGGTGGTCAGGACAAGCCCTTCCTCTCTGCCTGGCCCAGCCCTGTGGTGTCTGAAGGAGAACATGTGGCTCTTCAGTGTCGCTCTCGTCTTGGGTTTAACGAATTCAGTCTGTCCAAAGAAGACGGGATGCCTGTCCCTGAGCTCTACAACAGAGTATTCCGAAACACCGTTTTCATAGGCCCTGTGACCCCAGCACATGCAGGGACCTACAGATGTCGGGGTTCACACCCACACTTCCTCACTGGGTGGTCAGCACCCAGCAACCCCCTGGTGATCATGGTCACAGGTCAGAGGGCTCCTGTCTGGGATTCTCCTTGTCCCACCTCCTGAGTCCCAGAGCTTCTGGTGGGAGTGTCCACCAGCGTCCCATCATCCAGACCCTAACTGTATTTGGGGTAAAAGGGGATTGAATACAGGGAAATGGGTGCTGTGGTGGAAAGAATAATTGTCCCCAATGATGACTGCATTCTAATCCCTGCAGTCTGTGACTATTTATGTTATAGGGGAAGGCACTGAAGGGGAAGATGGAGCTCAGGTTGTTGAGTTGACCTTGAGATGGGGAGACAGCCTGGACTGTCCTGCTGGGCTCAGTGTAATCACAAGGGTGCACATGAGAGGAGAAGGAAGAGGGGAGTGGCGATTAGAGCAGTGCAATGGAAGTCTCCATCAGCTTTGAAGGTGGAGGAAGGCCATGAGCCATGAATGCAGGTGGCCTATAGAGGCTGGAAAAGTCAAGGAACTGATTCTCCTGGGTCTCCAGAGGGAACGCAGCCCTGCAGATGCCTTGATTTTAGCCCTCAAAAAACAGGGTCCGATTTCTGTCTCCAGAAACGGAAGGGGTCAGTGTGCTCTCTCCTGCTGCCATGCTTCTGATAATTTTCCACAGCACCAACAGGAAACCAACACTGGAACCCAGGTCAAGGACAAGATAAGAAAGGACACAAGGATAGCCGGGCGTGGTGGCAGGTGCATGTAATCCTAGCAACTCAGGAGGCTGAGGGCAGGAGAATCACTTGAACCCAGGAGACAGAGGTTGCAGTGAGCCTAGACCACACCACTTCACTCCAGCCTGGGTGAAGGAGTGAGACTCTGACTCCAAAATTAATTAATTAATTAAAGAAACCAAACAAAGAGAAGGTTGGCTACACCGAGATCAGCAAGGGTGGGATGATGATGCCACCACCAGGCTCCATCCACATAGGGAGGGGTTGATACTCCTCAAACCAGCACCAGAAGCCAGCCTATGGAAGCTGGCACCATGGAGAAGGCACAGGCATGGCAAGAGTGGCTCCCAGTCCCCACCAGGAACAGGGTGTGTGGACACTGGTGCCTGCCTTACTGATCAGTTCATACCTTCTGCCAAGGATTCCAATTCGTCCAAAAGAGATTGAACCAGTCTGCTAAGAGCCTGGACGTGCAGCCTATCCTGGTTCCTCTTCCACCCCCACATAGAAGCAGGAAAGACATTAGTTCGAAATAGATACAACAGCCCAAGAGATGAGGCTGAGCCCAGCGGCAAGGGAATCAGGAGCTACTAGAGACAGAGGGACAGAGAAGAGGGAGGGAGACAGATGGAAGGACCTGTACCAGGAGTTATGGGCACAGAAAAGAACATGAAGACACAGAGAGGAAGGAGAGAGATAAGACACCAGCGAGGGGAAGCCTCACTCATTCTAGGTGCCATGGATGGGATGATAAAGAGAGATGCCTTCTAAAGTCACAACCTCTCTTCCTAGGAGTCCACAGAAAACCTTCCCTCCTGGCCCACCCAGGTCCCCTGGTGAAATCAGAAGAGACAGTCATCCTGCAATGTTGGTCAGATGTCATGTTTGAGCACTTCCTTCTGCACAGAGAGGGGAAGTTTAATGACACTTTGCGCCTCACTGGAGAGCTCCATGATGGGGTCTCCAAGGCCAACTTCTCCATCGGTCGCATGACGCAAGACCTTGCAGGGACCTACAGATGCTACGGTTCTGTTCCTCATTCCCCCTATCAGTTGTCAGCTCCCAGTGACCCTCTGGACATCGTGATTACAGGTGAGAGTGTCTGGACATTATTCTCATTGTCACTGGGACACAGAGTGAATGATCCACGACTTGGAGGCCCAGGTGGTTATAAGGAAGATGAGCTTGGTATTCTTATGGAGAGAGACTAACTTGGTGAGGTCTGTACCAACAGAGACAGAGAAACAGGAGGCACAAGTACAGACCAGGTGTCATAACAGAGGACAGACACAGGGGCCATACAGGGAGTTAGAAAAGACAGAAAGAGTTAAAGGAGACACAGACAGACATGTGCCAGAGAGAGGTGTCCTTCCATGCTGACTTTGCTCAGAGACCTGGCACAGGTTAGAAGTTTCATTTCTGTTTTACTTCCACAAAGTGTTCTCTACCAGAAGAACCCAAGGACACCCATATTTCTGGCCTGAGTTGGGCCCTGTGGCCTCAGGCCTTCTGGCACCTACAGATGCCGTGTTTATTCTGACACCTCTGCCTTCCATGCAATGGAGAGTAATCGTCCCAGGATATCATGGCCCCAGAACATCAACCCCTGTATACTGTGTGAACTTGCGGTCCCCAGACTGGATTCTGAGGCTCACATTCCAAATAACCCCACATATGAGAGGATCACTGAGAGACACAGAGAGAAATCAGGGACACCAAAAAGCAAAGACATAAACACACAGAGAATGAGCCAGAGGAAGGAGATTGAGAGACTCACAGACACATAAAGAGGGAGAAAAGAGGGCAGAGAAGTGGAGAGAACAATGGAAGGGAACAGAGAAAAGCACTAAAATTAGAGTCCTGAGGGAGAGACACAAGGACATAGAAAGATGGAGATGTGGGGATGAATTGCAGAGATTCCAAAGAGAACTAGAGAGACCGAGAGGCAGAGCAAGACAGATGATAGATGGATAGATATAGATAGATGATAAATAGGTAGATGATAGATAATAGGTTATAGATACATAGATGATGATTGATTCATTCATTGATTAATCGATGATACATAGAGATGATGAAGATGAAGATAGATAGATAATACATAGAGATAGAGAGGCAGACAAAGAGAAATCATAGAGAGAGAGAGATGATACATAGATATAGATAATAGATGATTTTTGGATAGACAATTGATAGATAAATAGATTATATATAGATATAGATGACAGGTAGAGAATTTGTAGATAGGCACCAAATAGATAAATAGATATATCGATAGATAATAGATAGAAATATGCAGAAAGTTATGAACAGGACACAAAGTGAGAAACTCAGAATTTAAAAAAAGTAACATCAAGTCAACTAGTCCAAGGAGAGTCAGAGAGAATAAAACAATCCAAAAAGGGAAAACATATCTAGAGGTGAGAAAGTGAGGTCAGAGACCTAGAGAGACAGAGAAGGTGGAAAGAGGAAATAGACATAAAGAGAGATGGTGTGGAGGGTGAGACAGAGAGAGAGAGCATTAGGCCATAGAGCAGGGGAGTGAGTTCTCAGCTCAGGTGGGAGGGGAGTTGTGACAAGGAAGAACCTCCCTGAGGAAACTGCCTCTTCTCCTTCCAGGTCTATGTGGGAAACCTTCTCTCTCAGCCCAGCCGCGCCCCATGGTTAAGGCAGGAGAGAGCGTGACCTTGTCCTGCAGCTCCCGGAGCTCCTATGACATCTACCATCTATCAAGGGAGGGGGAGGCTCATGAACTTAGGTTCCCTGCAGTGCCCAAGGTCAATGGAACCTTCCAGGCCAACTTTCCTCTGGGCCCTGCCACCCACGGAGGGACCTACAGATGCTTCGGCTCTTTCCGTGACTCTCCCTACGAGTGGTCAGACCTTAGTGACCCACTGCTTGTTTCTGTCACAGGTGAGGAAACCAGTCTGTTCCCCAAATAGTGGGACTCAGACGGACTACAATGGCCACATTCAGGGGAGCCTCAGATGGAGGGGGTGGCCATGGGGGTGTCAGCCAGAGATGCTGGACAGAAGAGACACAAAGCAAACATACAGAAAGAGGCATAGACAGACAGACAGAGCGAGGCAGACAGATCACATTAGGGTTTGGGGTGGTAACTGCAACCCTACCTGAAGCTTGCAGATAAAGCACAGGCCACATAAACCACTTCCCAGTCTTTGTACAGAAGCCCACCTGGGACACATGTAAACAGCATCAATGCTGACTCAGGAGCATGAAAGGCCGGGCTCAGATTGGAAAGACTAGAGGTAGCATTGGCCGCCCGCCATTGCCCATTTCCAGAAGCCCCCACCTCTCACCAAAGAGTGATTTCCACATGGGGGGCACAGATGCAACCATCGTTGGGGGAGCCCCAATGTCTCTTGATGGGAGGCATTTTCCACCCTAGATGTTTTTTGCTCTCTCCACACCTTGGAGACTCAGTGGGGGAGTCTTCTCTGGGGACTCGGGGAGGGCCTCCCTGGGACTCGCAGGATTTCCAAGCTAGATGACAACATGACAGGTGGAAACAGGCCCATTCCTTCGCCAGGGGCCCCAAGCTCCATCCCAGGAGATGAGAAGAGGCTCTTCTCATTGGTCAGTGGATCCCTGAGGGGACAGAGGCTCAGCACTGAAGGCTGAGAAGGATCTGCCACTTCGCTCAGTGGCCTCAAGCCAGACATCTTCCCTACAGACTTGCAGTGATTCTCCATCAGCATTTAGGGCTGTGGCCACCAACCTGGGTGTTGGTCTGTAGGAACTTTTCATTTCTGACCTTCCATAACTGAGTTCTCTTCCTAAATGTGGAATGCCTTGTACTCCATGTTACTCTCTCCCCAGAAAGAATGTGTGGCTTGTCTGCTCTCCAGCCCTGTCATGGAGATTGATAATCCTTAGGGAGCAAGAGGAGAGGGAAAGAACAAAGTATGAGACCACCTAGGTGCTACTGGTTGAGGTTCCATTTGCCAGTGAAGGGACTTCACTCAGCCGAGGGGGCAACTCAGGGAAGTCAGCCGAGGGAGGGCATTAGAGTAGAGAGAACTGAGCTCACCCAGTAAATGACCCCTTCACTAACTCATTCATCTAATATTTATTTCACACCTACCATCAGTTCTCTCTGTTTCATGGCCAGGAGTAGACAGCACGGCCAAGCTCCTGGGTTCATGATGCTCACATTGCTGTGGGGTGGGAGAGAGAGGCAGAACATGAATGAATGAATGAGAGAATGAATGAATGAGTGAATGATGGAATGAGTGAATGAATGAATGAATGAATGTATGAATTAGTGAGTGAATCCTTAGCACTTGGTGAAAGTGCCATGCACAGAATGAAATGAATGAACGTGGAACGTTGTCATTTGGAGTGTACAGGAGGGAACGTCTCACTGAGACCTCATCAGAGAGATCACATTTAAACTCCGATCTTAGAGACAAGAGGGAGTGAGCCCTGGGGAGTGTGTTGAAAGGAACTTTCATGGACTTAGGACATTGGGGATGACCCTAATGTGAGAATGAGCTTGGTGTGTTCCAAGAAGTCCATGGACCTGCCATATGGTGAGGGCTGGTCAGAATCCAGAGAGATTTCTAAATGCCCTTGTGCTTGTAAGGAAAGTGAGTCCTGTGGTTGGGAGTGGACTTATACCTTGGGTCAGGTCCAGCAATTATCTTTCTAAATCCTCTCTAATTGCCTGAACCACTTCTATCAACAACTGAGAAAAGAGGAGTGTTAAACACCCCACTGTGGCCGTGGATTTGCCTACCTGTCCATTTATTTCCGCGACTCTTCCTCCATGTATATTTGCAGGAATATTACTGGGAGTGGTTAAGTGTAAACTGATTATATATTCCTGGTAAATTTAAAATGCTATAAATTTACCTGCTTTTTTCCTACATTTTATGCTTAATGTTTTCCGCTGATTTTTCCCAAAGACTAATTTTGTCTAATTTTAATATAGTTATACCACATTTCTAACAGTGATTGCTTGGTATATTTCTACATTGTTTAATTTCAAACTCCATGAATTGTTAACATTGAGATGTGTCCTTTGTAAATTTCAAACAATTCGCCTTAGAAAGTAAGACTTTCTGACAATCTTTTGTTCATGTTTGAGCAGTTCTTCCAATCATATTTTTGTTATTATTACGTTGTGTTTTCCTGATTCCCTTTTTTTCCCACTGACTTCTGTGGTTTTCTATTTCAAACATTCTATTTTTGATCTATGTCGTTTAGGAATACATATATGGTGTACTCATCCTGAAGTTGTTACATATTTTTAAAATTGAAATTAATCATTTCAGAGATTAAACTGCAAATATAAAAACATATTTCCACTCTTCCTGTGTAAGAACAGGATTTTAGAGCATATTTAGTACATATGTTTGTATTTACTTATATGATGTTTTGTTTTGTGGTATACATAATTCTATCTTTTTCAGAAATTACACAGGGGCGTGTTTTCATACACTATCGTATGGTCCATATTCATTTTTGGCATAGCCATATTTTTAGTTCTTCCTCTGCTCTTAGTTATTGTCAGAATCTTCGACACCCCATCTGGTTTCACTTTCTTTATCTTTGAGGCACGGTCATCAGAATTTCCTTTAGGGTCAGTGAGAAAAGCTTTCTTTGCCCTTTTGTCTTTCAGTTCTGTTTCTTTCCTGCGTTGATCTTGGACAGTAACTGTACTATGTAAGGAATTGTCGGTGGCTGGCGACGGTATCTTAGCTGGGTAAAGATGCTATTCTACTGGCTTATGTTTTCCTTTTTTCTGTGGGGAAGACAATGCTTGGCTCCCTATAAATCCTTACCAGCTGATCCTTTTCCTCTGGCTAATTTTAAGGGTTGGTTGTGCTTTTATGCTGCTTTTCTGTAATGTTGAACGTGAGGTGTGTTTACTTCATTCTGCCTGGCATTCACTGGATTTCTTGAACCTGTGGATTGATGGATGTGTCTACTTCCTCCAAATAATCAACAATTGCCTCTTTAAAGATTGCTTCTGACCTGTTTTCTCGTTCTTTCTTTTTGGAACTCAAGTTAGGAGCATTCTAAAACTGTTGTCAATTTTTACCCTGTCACAAAACTGCTCTTTCTTGTTTCAGTTATTTGCTTTTTCTGTGCATTAATATTGATGGTTTCCTCTGTCATAGAGGATAAATACTCTCTTCACTGTTGTGTACACAACATTTTAACTAGTTATTCTGGTTTAAATTTAATATTGACTTTATCTACATATCACAATTGATTACTGTGTACAGACTTTCTTTTCTATTAGTATAAATTTATGAGGTACACTTGTAATTTTGTGACATGAGTATGTTGCAGAGTAGTGAAGTCAGGACTTTTACTATATCCATCACCCAAATACCGTACATTGTACTCATTAAGCAAATTCTCATCACTCACCCACGTCCCGCCACCCTCCAGCCTTCTAGCCTCCGCTGTCCGTCATTCCACACTCTACGTCCATATGTACACATTACTCCCCTCCCATGTAGAGTGAGAAGATGTGGTATTTGTCTTTCTGAGTGGTTTTATGTAAAATAATGGCGTCCAGCTCCATCTATGTTGCTGCAAAAGACATGGTTTTATTTTTATGACCAAATAGTATTTCGTTGTGTATACACGCATCCTTTTTTTAATCCAATCATTCATTCACAGACACTTAGATTGATTTCATATCTTTGCTATTGCAAACAGTGCTGCAATAAACATACAGGTGCAGGTATTTTTTGAGTAGATACCCAGCAGCGGGACCCCTAGATCGAATGGTGCTTCTATTTTTGGTTCTCTGCCAAATTTCCATACTGTCTTCCATAGAGGCTATACTAATTTACATACCGGCCAACAGTGTATAAGAGTTTCCTTTTCTCTGCATCCTTGCCAACACCTGTTATATGTTTCACTTTTTCTTTTTTTCTTTTTGAGATGGAGTCTTCCACTGTCACCCAGGCTGGAGTGCAGTGCCGCCATCTCCACGCGCTGCAACCTCCACCAACCAGGTTCAAATGATTCTCCTGCCTCAGCCTCCTGAGTAGCTGGGATTACAGAACCACACCACCATGCCCAGCTAATCTTTTGTATATTTAGTAGAGATGGGGTTTCACTATGTTGGTCAGGCTGGTCTCAAACTCCTGACCTCATGATCCACCCGCCTCAGCTTCCCAAAGTGCTGGGATTACAAGCGTGAGCCACCACTCCCCACCAGCATTTTTAGTAATAGCCATTCTGACTACTGTAAGATGATATCTCATTGTGGTTTCAATTTGCATTTCTCTGATGATTAGTGATGTTCATACGCTGTTTGGCCATTCGTATGTCTTCTTTTGAAAAATGTCTATGTATATCCCTTTGCCCACTTTTTAATGCTATTATTTGAGGGGTTATGTTTAGTTGTTTGAGTTGCCTAGAAATTCTGGATGTTAGTCCTCTGTTGGGTGCATAGTTTGCAAACATTTCCATTCATTCTGTGGGTTGTCTGTTCACCCTGCTACTATTTCCTTTGCTTGGCAGAAGCTCTTTCGTTTATTAAGTCCCATTGGTCTAGTTTTATTTTTATTGCCTGTGCTTTTGAGGTCTTAGTGATGAATTCTTTGCCCAGACCAATGCCCAGAAGAGTTTCTCTTTGGGTTTCCACCGGTGATTTTATAGTTCTGGATTTACATTTAAGCTGCTAATTACCTTAAGTTAATTTATGTGTATGATTACAGATACAGGTCCAGTTTTATTCTTCTGCATATGGCTATTTAGTTTTCCCAGCACCTTTTATTGAAAAGGAAATCTTTCTCCAGTGTATGTTTTGTTAACGTCGTCAATGATTATTCACTGTAGATATGAGGCTGTATTTCTGGGCTCTCTATTCTGGTCTATTGATCTCTGTTTCTGTGTCTATACCAGCACTGTGCTATTTAAGTTACTATAGCCTTAGAGCATAGTTTGAAGTCAGATAGCGTGATGCCTCCAGGTTTCTACATTCACCTAGAATTGCTTTCTCTATTAGGATCTTTTTTGGTTCTGTATGAATTTTAGGATTGCTTTTTCTAATTCTGTGAAAGCTGGTGTTACTATTTTCATATAAGAATTGCACTGAATCTGTAGATTGCTTTAGGCAGTATGGTCATTTTAACAATATTAATTCTTATGATCCATGAGCGTGGGATTTTTTTTCTTTTTTTTTTTTTGTATTATCTATAATTGCTTTCATTGGTGTCTTACACCTTTCCTGGTACAGCTCTTTCACCACCTTGGTTAAATGTATTCCTGAGTGTTTTAATTTTGCGTATCTATTGTAAACGGCATTGCCTTCTTGATTTGGTTCTCAGCTAGATCATTATAGGTGTAGAGAAATGCTACCGGCTTTTACATATTGATTTTGTATTCTGAAACTTTACTTAGTTCATTTATCAATCATAAGAATTTTTGGCAGGGTCTTTAGGATTTTCTAGATTTAAGATCATAGCATCAGAAATAAAAATAATTTTACTTCCTCTTTTCTAATTTGGATTTTTAATTCTTCCTGTTGCCCAATAGCTCTGACAAGGCTTCCAGTACTATGTTGATAGGAAGTGGTGGATGTCCGTGTCCTTGTCTTGTGCCAGTTCTCAGAGGAGTGCTTTTAACTTTTCCTGTTCAGTATGATGTTGACTCTAGATATGTCATCTATGGCTTTTATTATTTTGAGGTATGTTCTTTCTATGCCTAAGTTTTTGAGGGTTTTCATCAGGTAAGGATGTTGAATTTCTTTTCAGATGCTTTTCTTTATGTCTATTGAGATGATCATATGGTTTTTGTTCTGGATTCTGCTCGTTCTTCTAAGTGGATGAGACATGCCAGAAAAGCATTTAGTCAGCCATCTTGGAAACAAGCATCTCAGATGTTTTCTTTCTCTATAGCTCATTCTTTCTTACCAGTGTTTTCAATTTTGTACTTAATTTTGTAAAGAGAGTAAATGATATAATTTCCACATATGTTTCCTCTGCCAAATCAGACTCACTATGCTTCCTTTCCTTGTATGCATAACCTACCCAGCAATACACACAAACATTTATTGCTTTGGAGAATTAGTTTGGGAACATTTTTGAAATGTACAAAAAAATGTATATCTTCAAAAGAAATTTCTTTTTGTGGCAAAAGACTTCTGAAGGTGCTCATGATGATATAGGGAGAAGAGGGGTTCTGGACAGGAAGAATTTTATGAAGGTGAGATGGGGAAATAGCTCCATTTCAGAGCTTCTGGGGAGAGAGGGGCCTGGCCCACATGGAAAGGTCTCTGATCTTACCCCCACCCTCCAGCCCCTGTTCTCCAGAACTATACTGTGGAGAGTTCCATCAGGATTGTTGTGGCTGGTCTGGTCTTCCTGGCTCTTTTGGCAATGCTGGCTAAGACCTGGTGGAGACATGAGGGGCCACAGGTGGAAATGGAAGAAACATGACTGAAGCTGGCTGGAGTGAATGGCGCGACATTCTGTCTGTGGGAGATTGGCCAGATGGGTTTCAAGTGTGTTGTATCAGCTGTGACTTTTAGTAATGTTCTTGCTACCACAATATCCACTCGTCCATCCCGAATAATTGTGATGAAATATTGTCCTTGGGATAATATTCATTTGCTAAAGACAGGGATGATACCTCAAGGTGCCACTATATACATCGAGGGGATCCACAAAAGTCCATTCAGTAAAATGTAGTTGGCATCTTAGGGTAGGTTGATTCCACCTCTAAAAAAGTAGGTACAACATCAGGTTGATTTTTCCGAAGAAAAGTGGTGATTGGCCATCTTTAGTCTCAATGTAAACGGTAATACTGATGAGTGTGGAAAAGGCAGGGAAGAGGATTGACAATAAGTGACACTCATTGTTTTCATCTGAGCTTTGAGACTGAAAGAGGAACACAGGAGTGAGATGTATGGGAACAAACCCCTTCTTTTTCCAGCTAAACAGAGTGGAAGTTGGACACTGAGTTTTGGCGTACAGCAAAATCCTAAGTCCATTGTTGGGTTGAACACGGCCATGTTGTACATCCTGGTTTCACAGCAGACACTGGAGGAAAACAGCCTGTATTCATAAGAGGCTGTCCCTCGGGTCACTGCCCAGAATATCCGGAGTTGGTGCTCACAGGGTTGGGAACTCTCCTGGACCAGACAGGCTCTGGATATGGGGGGGTACCAAGCTCCCCGGGGCCATGCCTCCACAGCTCTCTTCTCACCTCATTCTTGACCATTTCCCAAACCTCTGACCTCACCTTCATTCATCCATGGTGAACACGCTAAAGCTGGCCTTCAAAGCTTGAGACAGAGGAAAATTGGGCTTCATCTCTGGGAACTAAATTGGGGAGTGGAGACTCAGTTCTGGCCTGACAGGAGGGAGAAGACCCTGGATCCCAGTGTGGATGGGAAGAAGTATGTGTTTCTCTTTTGTGCTTGGACCCTGTGTCCAAGCATGTCTGAGATGTGATGAAGATGAATCTTCCTTTCCTTGTCTATTTTCTCATGCCAGAGAATTGGAATCTTATATTCCATTAACTCTTTCTGTTCTGTTCATCCAGATTCTATGAAGGAGAAAGGAAAAGATGTGATACTGTAATTTTGCTCCATTTGTCTAAAATGAGTAGGCTGCAACTCCTCTTGAAGTGATACCTTTTCTAGCTCTTGTTGGAGGTGTCTCAGGACTCATTACTTCGGGGAACCTGCAACTGTGTCAGTCTGGGGAAACTGCAAATATTCTTGTCTTACATTTGTCTCCAGCCAATTGTGATGGACTCCAGTGACCTGCAATTGCTGTTATTGCAGGTAAAATGTACCTGAGTCAGGCCACAGTTCTCCTGGACTATGAGCCCCTGGCCATGTTCCTGAGGCAATTCTGTTCATCTAAATATAATAATAATAACACACTAAAAATGGCAAGCCATTGTTAATTCCTGAAGTCTCATTTGAAAATTACTAAATGTCTGTTATTTTTTGGTGTTTACATTATATGTAGACAGATAAACTACACACACACACACACACACATGCACACAGAAGAATGGATTGGTTCATGTAGAAAAGTAAATAATTCAAGATGAAAGGATGAAATGTCATGGCACCTACTATTCTATTTTAGATAAAGGGTCTATGAAAAGATTGATTTCTTTTTATGTTTTATTTGTTGACATTTGAACACAAACTATGTAAGTGAGGGAGTCGATTTGAAAGGGAGAAGAGCAAGTTCAAACACATTCAGGTGAGGTCATGCTTTACATGTTTTAATTGAAATGATCCATCTTGGGAGTAGATCAATAACTGAGATGGTGCCAGGAATGTTAAAAAGCTTTTGTCAGTCCTAAATATTGACAAATAAAATTTAATTAAAGTCTTAGAAGAAAACACAAAGGAAAACTTCACAACATCGGATTTGGCAGTGATTCTTTAGATGTGACAACAACGGCACAGGCTACTACAGAAAAAATAAACAAGTTAGACTTTATGAAAATTTTGAAATATTGTGACTCAAAAGACAACATCAGTTACTTCACATGGCAAGGAAAAAGAACTTTTAAGACGATATTATCAAAGTAAAAAGACAACCCACAGAATGGGAGAAAATGTTTTCAAACCACACCACCTGTAAGGGATTAACATCCAGAATATACAGACAACTCCTAAAACTCAATCACAATAAACTCAATTCAAAAATGGGCAAAGTACTGAAACAGACATTTCTCCAAAGAACATACGCATGACAAGATATTCAGCATCACGAATCATTAGGGAAATACTAACTAAAACTACACCAGATGCCATTTCATACCCCTTAGGATGGGTATCATCAAAACAACAACAACAACAACAACAACAAAGTTTCTATACATTAACAACAAACTATCCAAAAAAGTTTACAAGAAAATAAGCCCATTTGCAATAACTACAGAAAACAAAACATGCAGGAATAAATTCACCCAAGGAGTAGAAAGATCTGTATGCAAAAGCTATAAAACATTGATGAAAAAACTCAAGAAATAAACAAATAAATCGAAAGATATTCCATGTTCACGGATCAGAAGGATTAATGTTGTTAAAATGTCCATTCTATCCAAAGTGATTCAATGCAACCATTATCAAAAATCCAATGACATTTTTTTTTACAGAAATAGAAAAAACAGTCCTAAAATTCATGTGGAACCACAAAAGATCTCAAATAACCAAAGCCATCTAGAGGGAAAGGAACAAAGTTGGAAGCATCACATTACCTAAACACAAACTACATTACAAAGTTACAGTAATTAAAACAACACAGTACTTGCATAAAAACAGACACATAGACCAATGGAAGTGATTCATAGCCCAGGAAAAAAAATGCACGCATTTAGGGTCAAACAATTTTTGGGATGTATCAAGAACACACAATGGAGAAGGAACAGTCTCTTTAATAAATGGGATTGGGAGACATGCAGAAGAATGGAAGTGGACATTTGCCTCACAAAACATACAAAGTCAACTCAAGATAGATTAATGACTTAAATGTAAGGTGAAAGACTATCATCCCAGCAATTTGGGAGGCCAAGGCGGGCAGATCACCTAAGGTCAGGATTCCAAGACCAGCATGGCCAACATGGTGAAATCCCGCCTCTACTAAAAATACAAAAACAGCTGGGTGTGGTTGTGGGTGCCTGTAATCTCAGCTACTCGGGAGGTTGAGACAGGAGAATCACTTGAACCCAGGAGGTAGAGGTTGCAGTGAGCCGAGATCGCATCACTGCACTCCAGCCGGGGCAACAGAGTGAGACTCCATCTTAAAAAAAAAAAAAACTACTAAAAGAAATCAAGGGAAAACTCCACTGGCTTGGGCAAAACCATTTTGGATATTAACCCAAAGGCCCAGGCAACAAAAGCAAAAGTAGACAAATAACATTATATCAAATTGAAAGTTTCTGCAAAGAAAAAAAAAAACTCAACAAGTGGAAAGACAACCTATGGAATGGGAGAATATATTTGCACCCATACATCTAATAAGGAATTAATATCCAAAATATATAAGAAACTCAAACAACTCAATGGTAAGAAATCAAATAACCCAACTTAAAAAAATGGGCAAAGTATCTGAATAAACATTTCTAAGAATAAGACAAATCACCAAAAGGTATATGAAAAAATGATTAGCATTACTAAACATCAGCTAAATAAAAATTAAAACTAGAATGAGATATCACCTCACACCTCTTAGAATGACCATTAACAGTCTGGGCATGGTGGCTCATGCCTGTAATTCAGGCACTTTGGGAGGCCGAGGCAGGGAGATTACCTGAGGTCAGCAGTTCGAAACCAGCCTGGCCAATATGGTGAAATCCCATCCCTACTAAAAATACAAAAATTAGCAGAGTTTGGTGGCGCACACTTGTAGTCCCAGCTACTCTGGAGACTGAGGCAGGGGAATCGCTTGAACCCAGGAGGCAGAGGTTGCAGTACACCGAGATTGTGCCACTGCACTCCAGCCTGGGTGACAGAGCAAGACTGAGTCTCAAAAAAAAAAAAAAAAAGACCATTATCAAAAACATAAAAAATAACAAGCATTAACGAGGATGTGGAGAAAAGGGAACATTTGTATGCAGTTGATGGGAATGTAAATTAGCACAACCATTATGGAAAACAGTCTGGAAGTTCCTGAAAAAATTAAACATAGAATTCCCATATGTGTCTGCAATCCAACTACTGCGCATGTATCCAAAGGAAGTGGAATCAGTATGTTGAAGAGATATCTGCATTCCCATGTTTACAGCCGCATTATTCATAACAGCCAAGATGTGGAATCACCCTTACTGCCCATCTATGGGTGCATGGACAAAGAAAACGTGGTATACGATAGGAACGTAATGAAGTACTATACAACCTTTACAACAAAGAAGGAAGTCCTCTCATTTGTGACAATGTGAAAAAACTTAGAGGACATTATGTTAAGGGAAACAATCCAGGCACAGAAAGACAAATGCCACATGATCTCATGTGTGGAGTGTAAGAAGTGGAACCTAGAGGAACAGTAAAATGGTCGTCGAAAGAACCTGGGAAGGAGAGAGATTGAAGAGATGTTGGTCAAAGGATGCAAAATTTCAGTTAGAAGAAATCGGTTCAAGAGATCTATTGTATGTCTTGGTGACTCCATTTAATAGCAACATATGGTGTATTGAACATTACTAAGAGATTAGATTTTACATGTTCTCACCACACACACAAAACATACAAGTATGTGAAAAAATAAATAGATAAAGAGGTTGTTTCATCCATTCCACAATGTGTACCTATATGAAAACATCATGATGGACACCACAAATACCCTTTTCCTCATTAATTAAATTTGTTTTGGCTTTTTTTTTGAGACGCAGTTTCACTGTTGTTGCCCAAGCTGAGGTGCAATGGCGTGATCTCCGCTCACTGCAACCTCTGCCTCCCAGGTTCAAGCGGTTCTCCTGACTCAGCCTCCCAAGCAGCTGGGACTACAGTTGCGTACCACCCCGTCCGGCTATATTTGTGTTTCTAGTAGAGACAGGGTTTCGCCATGTTGGCCAGGCTGGTCTCGAACTCCAGACCTCAGGTGATCCACCCGCTTCGCCCTCCCAAAGTGCTAGATTTCAGGCTGAGACACCACACCCAGCCTGTACATTGACTTTCTGCCCTTAAACTGTGCTGAAGTTTGTTTCTCAGATGTAGGAGCCTTTGGGCAGAGACTATGGGGTTTCTAGGTATAGAAATTATCTCATCTTCAAACAGAGGTAATTTGACTACCTCTCTCTGCTACTCTCTTCTTACTTGGATGCCTTATAATTCTTTCTCTTTCCTGATGGCTCTGTCTAGGACTTCAAGTACTATGTTGAATAGGATGGTGAGAGTGGGCATTCTTGTCTTGTTTCACTTATGAAGGGAACTTCTTCCAGCTTTTACTCATTCAGTATGATGTTGGTTGTGGGTTTGTCATAGGCGGCTCTTATTATATTGAGTTATGTTTCTTCAATGCTTAGCTTGTTGAGGGCTTTTAACATGAAGAAATGCTTAGTAAAAAGTATGTTCTACATGTGTGTTGAGAAGATCATGTGGTTTTTGTTTTTAGTTTTGTTTAGGTGATGAATCACATGTATTGATTGTGTATGTTCAACCAACCTTGCACCCTAAGAATAAAGTTGACTTGATCATGGTGGATTCACTTTTTGATATGCTGCGGGATTCAGTTCTTAGTATTTTTTGTGGATTTTTGCATCTATGCTCATCAGGAATATTGGCATGTAGTTTTCTTTTGTTTAATATTCTTTTCTGTCTTTAGTATCAGGGTGATGCCAGCCTTATAGAATGAGTAAAGGCCACCCTGGGCAAACAGTGAGACCCATCCCTTTTTAAAAATTATGAGTTTTACAAATTTAAAATGCATAGTGAAAAAGTTCTTACAAACTCCAGAAAGGTAGGTGTAAATAAGAGACATTTGTAAGAATGACAGCACATTAAATGTGTAGATTTCAACCTTCAGTTATTGCAATATTCCAGTATCAAGTTGGAGGATGTTATCAGTCTGATATTTTTTCCTCAAATGAGAGAGAGAAAGAAAGACACACAAACAACACAGGGAGAAAAAAAGCACACGTTACAGAGAGACAAAAAGGGAGACAGGGAACTGTGAATTTGGACTCTTGTGTCATAAGACAAATTCTAGATAACACGACCAGACCTTCAATTGACATATTGTGTTTTTGCTAATAAGGTGGAATTCTATGATGCGAAATAACTATATAGTCTTTTCTACTGGGATTTAAATCATTTTATCTGTTTCTGGCTTAACAGGAAAAATACAACCATGGAAAATTATGATGATTTATTTAATACGATTGCTCTATAGTGTTAATAAAACCTATTAGGTATTTTGCATATTACATATCAAGGAGAGTTTGAATCTCAGGTAGAAACAAAAAAAAATACATCAAAAGTTCCTCATGTGAGTGCAGAATTCAATCGTCCCGTGCAGGGGTAAGTGAGTCTGAGATGTGTTTTGAGCCTGGCCGTTGCGCATGATGTGAACTGACAAGTCTAGTCTGCAGTTTTCAGAAACCCTCATTCCTCCCTTGACTGACTCACCACTTGAACCTCATATGACGTAGAAGAAGCCTACCTATGTCCCCTTCACATGTTGTGGTCAATGTGTCAACTGCACGATCCGGGCCCCTCACCACATCCTCTGCACCGGTCAGTCGAGCCGAGTCACTGCGTCCTGGCAGCAGAAGCTGCACCATGTCCATGTCACCCACGGTCATCATCCTGGCATGTCTTGGTGAGTCCTGGAAGGGAAGGAGCACCAGGGTTACACTATGGGCCTGCAGATTGGGTGTCTCCCCAGCAGAGAGCCATGTTCTGAAGCAAGTGAGTGGTGAGGATGAGTTAATTTTCAGTCCAGCGTGGCGCCCAGTGGCTCAGGAGGAAAGGGTAGGTTGGTGCCGAGATGAATAGTTCATCATGATCTTTCTTTGCAGGGTTCTTCTTGGACCAGAGTGTGTGGGCACACGTGGGTGAGTCCTTCCCCAAATGATGGGTTGCCATCTTCACCCCAATACAAGTGAATTTTCCGGAAATGGGAGGGAGGCAGCACAGAGGGTGGGCTGATGGGCTGACCATGGGAAGGCCTGGGGGGAGTCTCTCATGAACTAGTAAGAGGAGATCCTGGGAGTCTCTCATGAACTAGTAAGAGGAGATCCTGGGAGTCTCTCATGAACTAGTAAGAGGAGATCCTGGGAGTCTCTCATGAACTAGTAAGAGGAGATCCTGGTATGCTCAGCCCTCTGTTTTGTCTTAGCCCTCCCCAGCCTTTCTTCCCCATGGCTGAGTTGAGCTCTGTGTGGCCCAGGCGGGATACTGAGGTGCTCAAAGCTGGGGTGTGTGGGGGGATGTGGTGTCACCGACAGAGGAGGGAAGGGTAGCAGTGTTAGGAACAGCAGGTCCTCTGAGGACAAGAGGGTAACTCACACCCTCCAGCGTTTCCATGACGGTAGGGGCTGCAGTGTGGCTGCTGTCATTCTGCCAGAAGAGGTGGGGGAACCACAGCCACGACCCTGCCATTCCAAATCCTCTGATGGAGCTCAGTTGTTTATTGTGGTTCAGGCATTAGCTAATATTCCATTCACAAAGGTCATACCCTCCACCCCATGTCTACTTTGTGTTGTTTGGTGTAACTAATCTTGCAGTATTAAAATCTAGTAAGAGTCCCTTACTCAGCACCTGCTCAGTTCTCAACTGACACTTTTGTTGTAGGGAGACGCCACGTCTATGCGGGATGGGTCCTTCCTGTAGCCCCAGGCACCCAGGTGTGGTAGGAGCCTTAGAAAGAAGAAATGGGGAGAATCTTCTGAGCACAGGGAGGGAGGGGCAGCTCAACATACTCCTCTCTGAGGCGGCATCTCCTTCTCCCCAAGGTGGTCAGGACAAGCCCTTCTGCTCTGCCTGGCCCAGCGCTGTGGTGCCTCAAGGAGGACACGTGACTCTTCGGTGTCACTATCGTCGTGGGTTTAACATCTTCACGCTGTACAAGAAAGATGGGGTCCCTGTCCCTGAGCTCTACAACAGAATATTCTGGAACAGTTTCCTCATTAGCCCTGTGACCCCAGCACACGCAGGGACCTACAGATGTCGAGGTTTTCACCCGCACTCCCCCACTGAGTGGTCGGCACCCAGCAACCCCCTGGTGATCATGGTCACAGGTCAGAGGGCTCCTGTCTGGGCTTCTCCTTGTCCCACCTCCTGAGTCCCAGAGCTTCTGGTGGGGGTGTCCACCAGAGTCCGATCATCCAGGCCCCAACTATATTTGGGGTAAAGGGGGATTGAATACAGGGGAATGGGTGCTGTGTTGGAAAGAATAACTGTCCCCATCGATGGCCACATTGTAATCCTTGGAGCCTGTGACTATGTTATAGGGCAGGGGACTGAAGGGGAAGATGGAGCTCAGGTTGTTGATGAGTTGACCTTGAGATGGGGAGATGGCCTGGACTCTCCCACTGGGCTCAGTGTAATCACAAGGGTCCATATGAGTGGAGAAGGAAGAGGAGAATGGGGATTAGAGCAGCATCGTGGGATACTCCACCAGCCACTGTGGGCTTTGAAGGTGGAGGAAGACCACGAGCCACGAAGGGGCTGGAGAAATCAATGGAACTGATTCTCCCGAGTCTCCAGAGGGAATGCAGCCCTGCAGATGCATTGATTGTAGCCCAGGAAGAACAGGGTCTGATTTCTGTCTCCAGAAGTGGAAGGGGTCAGTGTGTTCTCTCCTGTCGCCATGTTTGTGATAATTTTCTCCAGCAACAACAGGAAACCAACACAGGAACCCAGGTGAAGGACAAGTTAAAAAACCAAACAAGAAGGTTGGCTACCCTGAGATCAGCAAGGGTGCACTGCTGATGCCACCACCAGGCTGGAACCACATAGGGAGGGATCGACAGGAAGAGTTGGGGGTGGAGGGTGAGAGAGAGAGAGAGAGCACTAGGCCATAGAGCAGGGCAGTGAGTTCTCAGCTCAGGTGGGAGGGGAGCTGTGACAAGGAAGAACCTCCCTGAGGAAACTGCCTCTTCTCCTTCCAGGTCTATATGAGAAACCTTCGCTTACAGCCCGGCCGGGCCCCACGGTTCGCACAGGAGAGAACGTGACCTTGTCCTGCAGCTCCCAGAGCTCCTTTGACATCTACCATCTATCCAGGGAGGGGGAAGCCCATGAACTTAGGCTCCCTGCAGTGCCCAGCATCAATGGAACATTCCAGGCCGACTTCCCTCTGGGTCCTGCCACCCACGGAGAGACCTACAGATGCTTCGGCTCTTTCCATGGATCTCCCTACGAGTGGTCAGACGCGAGTGACCCACTGCCTGTTTCTGTCACAGGTGAGGAAAGCCAATGTCTGTCCCATGTCCTATGGTCCTAGAGCCTTAGCTGAGGAGCTTCCTGCTGATGATGGAGAGAAGCATGGACAGATGTGGAGAGAAGATGCAGCATGGTGTGAGGGTGGGATCAGGGCACAGGATGGCAGACAGGGCACCTCCAAACCCTCCTGCATGGCCTGCATGGAAGCTTGCAGTAAGGGCTCCGGGTACCCAGGCAGATGGAGAAAGTGGTCAGGACAGACCCAGAGGAGGGAGACTGGGCTCAGTTTGGGGAGATCAGAGGTTCCCTCAGCCCCTCAACCTTACCCATTTCCCAGAAGCCCACCCTGGCCTCTCACCTACACAGAGATGTCATCACCAGCAACCCCTACACTTTTTCTTTTCCTTTGAAAAAATGCTGATTGAGGTTAAATATACCTATATAATTTATCAACTTTACCATTTTTAAGTGTAAAATCTAGGGATCATAAATACCTTTATATGCTGTGTGCGGTGGCTCACGCCTGTAATCTCAGCATTTTGAGACGCCAAGGCAGGTGGATCATTTAAAATCAGGGGCTGGAGACCAGCCCGGCCAACATGGGGGAACCAATCTTTACTAAAAAGACAAAAAAAATAAAATTAGCCAGGCATGGTGCCAGGCGCCTATAATCCCAGCAACTTGGGAGGCTGAGGCGGGAGAGTGGCTTAAACCCAGGAGGAGGAGGTTGCAGTGAGCTGAGATCATGCCACTGCACTGCAGCCTGGTGACACAGAGAGACTCTGTCTCTAAATAAATAAATAAATAAATACTTTTATATTCTTCTTTTGTTACCCTCCACCCCTTCCTTCCTAACCTCTGGTATCCACCATTCTACTCTCTACCTTCATGAGGTCCACCTTTTACATCCTGCATGTGAGTAAGAAATGGCAATCCTTGTAATGACCTCTAGTCCATCCATGTGGCTGCAAATGACAGGACGTTACTCTTTCTATGGATGAGTTGTCTCCATTGTGTGTATGTACTACATTCTCTCTATCCATTCATCCACTGATGGGCAGGTAGGTTGACTCCACATCTTGGCTACTGTGAACAGTGCTGGAACAGTCATGGGAGTGCAGATGTCACTTCAATACACTGAAGTCCTTTTCTTTGCATTTACACCCACTAGTGGAATTGCTAGATCCTCTGGATGTTCTCTTTTTAGGTTTTGTTTTATGCTTTTTGTTTTTTTGACATAGCGTTTCACTCTTGTTGCCCAAGCTGGAGTGCAATGGCACCACCTGGGCTCACTGCAACCTCTACCTCCAGGATTCAAGTGATTCTCCAGCCTCAGCCTCCCGAGTAGTTGGGATTACTGGTGCCCGCCACCAAGCCTGGCTGATTTTTGTATTTTTAGTAGAGACGGGGTTTCACCATGTTAGCCAGGCTGGTCTCGAACTCTTGACCTCCAGTGATCTGCCCACTTCAGCCTCCCAAGGTGCTGGGATTACAAGCGTGAGCCACAGTGCCTAATCTCTTTTCAGTTTTTAAGGAACTTCCATATTCTTCTCCTCTGTAATGGCTGTATTAATTTACATTCCTATCAACAGTGTATCAGGGTTCTCCTTTCTCCACCACCTTGCCAACATTTGTTTTGTCTGTCTCTGAGATAAAACCCATTGTAATGGGGTGAGATGATAGCTCATTGTGACTTCATTTGCATTTCTCTGATGATTAGTGATACTGAGCACTTTTTCATATATGCAATGTATATATGTTCATTTGTATGTTTTGTTCATTGAGAAATGTCTGTTCAGGTCTTTTACTAATTTTATAATTAAATTATTAGTTTTATTGAGGTGTTTGAGCTTCTTTTATATTCTAGTTATTAATCCCATCTCAGATGCATAGTTTGCAAATATTTGCTCCCATTCTGTGGGTTTTCTCTTCTTCACTTCATTGGTTGCTTCCTTTGCGGTGCAGAAGCTGCTTGATTTGATATAATCCCAATGGTCTATTTTTTTTGTTGTTGTTGTGATTACTTGTGTTTTTGAGGTTTTAAACAAAATGTCTTCCCTCAGACAAATGTCCTGGAGCATTTCTCCAGTGTTTCCTTTTAGACATTTAATGGATTCAGGTCTTAAGTCATTAATCCATTTTCATCTGATTTTTGTGTATGGTGAGAGGTAGAGGTGCAGTTTCATCCCTCTGCATGTAGATATCCAGTTTTCCCTGCACCATTTATTGAAATGACTGTCCTTTCCAGATTGTAGATTCTTCGAACCTTTGTCAAAGTCCATTGGATGTAAATGGGTGGATTACATCCGTGTTCTTCATTCTGCTTCATTGTTTTATGTGCTTTTCTTTATGCCAATGTCATGTTGTTTTGCTTACTACAGCTCTGTAACATATTTTTAAGTCAGGTAGTGTGATGCTCCTGTTTTCTCCTTATACCTTGAAGTCTCAAGATAGTTGGTGTCACCTACAATGATTATGGAGAATGGGATGCCAGGACTCCCAGGGCCCAACATTAGATAATAGAAGGTTGGCCATGAACCAACCTCAAAGATTTCCATTGAGTAGAAAAGACAGGCATCCTCATTGCCACACCTCTCTCCTGTCCCATGTTCTAGGAAACCCTTCTAGTAGTTGGCCTTCACCCACTGAACCAAGCTTCAAAACTGGTAAGTGAAGGACCCCTCTTATCTCTGCTTTTGGAAACCTGGGGAGGTAGAAGCCTTGGATTCAAGCGTTGGCTCAGCACCTGCCAGCTCTGTGATTGTGGGCCTGTCTTCCATTGTCTCTGAACCCCAGACACTCCAACAGCGAAAGGGATCTGGGCCCAGCACAGGGCTCAGTGAAATCTCTTAATCTCTAATTTTCTGCTGCTGAGACCTCAGGGTAGAAGGATGAGTGCAAATCAGACATTCTTCTCAGGAAAAATGCTGTGTTTGTTCTGCCTGCATTCCTAACTGGGAGGACAAATGCCTGGGGGCTTGAGAAGGGGAAGGAAGGGGAACATTTTTGAGGGTGGTGTGTTTGTAGAGAAGTTCTACTTGCCAAGGAATGAGCTCCTGTCTGTCATGATCCAACCCTGGTTGACTTAGTGGAACAAGAGCTTTGCGGTAAGAGAGAACGTAGTTCATCCGTGCACATGACACTTCCACTTACTCGTTCAGCCACTGCCCCATGCTCAGACTGTGCAGTGTGGAACTTTTTCCTATGTTGCCATAACAAATTTCCACAAGCTTCGTGGATGGAAACCACATTTTTAAAAAATATCTCATGGTGCTGTAGCTCAGAAGTATGAAATGCATCATCTCACTGGGCTAAAATCAAGGTGACAGCAAGGCTGCCTTCCCTCTGAATGTTCCAGGCAAGAATCTGCTTCCTCACTTTTCCCAGCTCCTAGAGGCTCCCACATTCCTTGGCTCCTGGTCCCCGTCTTCCTCCCTCAAAGTCCACAAAGGCTGGTCACGCCTCTCACACGGCATCACTCAGACCCTTCTTCCTTGTCCACACCTCTTTCTCTGAATGCTGCTCTGCCTTCTTCCTCATCTTTTAAGGACTTTGGCATTCTATTGGAAACACCAAGATAATCCATCATAATTTCCCTAAAATCATCTAGGATACCCTCCTTTTAAGGTTAGCTGATTAGCAACCGTAATTCCATCTGCAATCTGCATTCCTTTTTTCCATGTAAAATAACATATTCACAAGATATGGCGACTAGGACAGGAACATTTTGGGGTGGGGCGGCATTCTTATCCTTTCCACAAATGGTAAACAAGGTGCATTTGGCCTCTGCTCTTGGACACTGATATTGCAAAGGATTAAATGGGAGGGCAGAAAATGAATACACCAGTGGACCAATAAATGAATGATCCATTGGGAAGCATCTGTGCATGAGAATGATTGATTGATTGGTTGTTTTTATGAGACGGTGTCTCCCTCTGTGCCCCAGGCTGGAGTGCAGTGGCGGGATCTCGGCTCACCGCAACCTCCACCTCCCAGGTTAAAGCGATTCTCTACACTCAGCTTCCCGAGAGGCTGGGATTACACCCATGTCCCACCACGCCTGGCTAATTTTTTTTTGGTATTTTTTTTTAGTACAGACAAGGTTTTACCATGTTGCCCAGGCTATCTCAAACTCCCAACCTTAAGGGATCCGCCCGTCTCAGCCTCCCAAAGTGCTGAGATTAGAGGCGTGAGCCAAGGCGCCGAGCCGTATTTTAAAAGAAATAATAGATAATGCTGAGTGTATAATTTCGGGTGACAGAGAAGTTCTCACTGATCAAATAATACTTGTGACCTTAATGAAAAAAATAGATCAACCCCTGGAAGATTGGCGGAAGGATTTTCCACACAGCTGTCAGCCGTGAAGGCACAAAGGTGAAAACAATGTTATGTGGAAGGAAGAGGCTCTGCCTGAAATGCTGGGAATGACATGGGGAGAATGACAAGACGACTGTGGAGAGACAGAGAGCACTCTGGGTACACAGGAAACTAAGGAGGAACAAGGAGCGTGTGTTTGATACTCACAGCCATTGGACTTACCTCGGGGCTAACTGGGAATCCCTACATGATGAATAGTGACTGACATGAAAATAAGGGAGGCCCAGGTGCATAACTGGAATCTAGGAGACTGTGGAAAAGGCAATTCCCGCCCCCCTGGTGAAATGTGGTGCTGATTTAGACACTAAATGAATGAAAGATGGACACAAGATGTGTTTGTGAGGTAGAGTAATTTGCAGGGAGGGCTTGCCTGGTTTGATTTTTCCTAATTGTTTAATCTTCACTTCATTGATTTCTTTCTGAGATTTATTTTTCCTACATGTAAATCAATACTTGGCAGAGGAGTGAGAGATACATGAGGGGTGGTGCAAAGGAAGAGACCTATTATAATATAACACACAAGGTTCTGAACGGTGGCTCACACCTGTAACCCAACATTTTGGGAGGCTGAGGAGGCTGGATCAAGTGAGATCAGGAGTTCGAGATCAGCCTGGACAACATGGTGAAACCCCATCTCTACAAAATATACAAAAACTAGCTGGGGGTGGTGGCGCGTGCCTGTAATACCAGCTATTCAGGAAGTTGAAGAAGGAGAATGGCTTCAACCAGGGAGGGAGAGGTTACAGTGAGCCAAGATCGCGTCATTGCACTGCACCCTAGGTGACAGAGTGAGACTCCATGGCAAAAAATAAAAATAAAGAATACATAAATATAATATAACATACACGAATGACAAAGGCACACCAATTCCAATCATCATTTTTCTATTTCTCTATAATGACTTCTTTGATCCTTTATCCTATCCATAAGAAAATCAGGCGAAAACATCTTCCTTATTTGGCTTTCTGTGAGCATGAGATCATATGGAAAATGTGAAACCCACCAGCACAGGTCCTGGAATAGAGAACGTGATCTGTTCATGGCACAAAACTTGCCCCTTCACCCAAATCCCCCACCTCACCCCTACTTCCAATCACATTAATGATACAGATAGATCATGGGGAGGTAAAAACTAATATTCTTTGGAGTTCAGATCGTAGACTCAGAGACCAGTGCCAGCACTATCTCCTGGTCACCTTTTGGAGTAATTCACAGAAAGACAGGCTGTATTGAAGCAACAGATGATGGAGGGGGTGGTCTTTCCCCCAGACTCTCGGGTGGAACAGCAGCCTAATATCTGACTCCCAAGATGACAAAAGTAGCATGTTGCCCACGAGCTTCATCATTATTTCCTGGCTGTTTGATATAAGACAGCTCAACCTCACTTATGTTGATTTCAATGTCACTGTTTTTTCCTTTTCTTGGAGAATGTAATTTGTTTGAGTCAAGAGGGTTGTGGATGTAGAAACTGTAAAGCACATTCACTGTGTATCAATCCCAGTCCAGTCTTCCCAGAGAAGACTCTAAACACCTCCCATACTGCACCTGGGCCTGTGCCAATTTCTATCACTCACCATCACTCCAGGGAGACAGAACACACAGGGAATACATTACATAGGCAGGTTCATTACTTATAGATAAGCAGCGAGTGACAACAGAAACCTTCCTTTCAGGGTGAGCCAGTCCCTCAAGGCTCAGAAAAACTGCTCAGGACACATGGAGTCACTTCATGTGCACTGTAGCTGGGGGAAGCCAGAAAGCAGCCCAGCCTGGGTTTTGTACCCTGGAGCCACAGGGAACACTCAGCTAAAGCACTGCATGATGTTCTCCTCCAGGAAGAACAGGAAGACAGCCCAGGCTGTTCTGAGACGTTCCTCCTGATCTCAGGATGTTGCTGTCTTAGCCTATTTTTGTTGCTATAAAAGAACACTTGAGCCTGGGTATCTTCTAAAGAAAAGAGATGTGTTTGGCTCACTGATCGGCACGCTGTACTAGAAGCAGGACACTACCATCTATTTCTGGCTGCGGCCTCAGGCTGCTCCCACACTGACAGAAGAGAAGGGGGTCCTGCGTGTGCAGAGACCACAGAGATCACATGGCAAGAGAGGGAGAAAGGGGGTGTGATGGAGCTTCCAAGCTCTTTTTAAGAATCAACTCTCCAGGGTACTAATAGAGGGAGAACTTGCTAAACCCGTCCTCTGGGGACAGCATTAATCTATTCATGATGGATCCACCCCCATGACCAAAACACCCCTCCCAATAGGCACAACCTCCCACACTGGGGATTAAATTTCAAAGTGGGGTTTGGAGGGGTCAAACATTGAAACAATAGCAGTTGTATCATCAGCACATTCTATTGTTATTATGAAAACTATAACGGAGAAAGCAGGAGAAAGCTGGGTCTCCCGCCTCGTGGGTGCTTGTCCTAAAGAGGTGTTTTATGTGGTTGCCTGGCAACCAAGAAATGAGAGACAATCCACAAAGAGGAACTGCTATGGTTAGCTTCTTATTGGATTCTCATCTTCCTCCAGGTATCGCCAGACACCTGCATGCTGTGATTAGGTACTCAGTGGCCATCATCCTCTTCACCATCCTTCCCTTCTTTCTCCTTCATCGCTGGTGCTCCAAAAAAAAAAGTAAGCCTCACGAAGCAGAGGCCAGAGAACTCAGGGCCCTGTGCGGAAGCAGGATGGGAGCACGCAGGTGTGTGTTCCTCACTGGCAGGAAAGTCTCTGGCCCAAGGCAGGAGCCAGAGGCAGAGCTTTCTAGAGAGAGCACCAGACACCCTGCCCCTGCCTTCAGCTCACAGACCATTGCCTGATTGTGAACTGTATCCTCACGTCCCCTGCAGCCACTCACATCCAGGAGAAGATTCCATGACAGGCAGAAAGTGGGAGATAGAATCAATGGGATGGGAACTGACAGCTATTCATGGAATGGGGTCTTGCACTCAGAGAGATGGAATGTCTGAGTCTGGCTGTTGGCAGCTGAGGGACCTCAGGCACCTATGGCCTCCCCCTGTGTGTTGGTATCTGTTCATGAAATGAGGACCCAGAAGTGCCCTCCCAGCTGTTTTGATTGCTTCCGTCTCCTACAGATGCTGCTGTAATGAACCAAGAGCCTGCGGGACACAGAACAGTGAACAGGGAGGTAGGTCCTCCTAGCCCAGCCTCATGGATACAGTCTTATTCCCTAATAGTCCTGAAAAATGTGAACACCCTCCCTCACTCAGGATTTCCCTCTCTCCAGGACTCTGATGAACAAGACCCTCAGGAGGTGACATACGCACAGTTGGATCACTGCATTTTCACACAGAGAAAAATCACTGGCCCTTCTCAGAGGAGCAAGAGACCCTCAACAGATACCAGCGTGTGTATAGAACTTCCAAATGCTGAGCCCAGAGCGTTGTCTCCTGCCCATGAGCACCACAGTCAGGCCTTGATGGGATCTTCTAGGGAGACAACAGCCCTGTCTCAAACCCAGCTTGCCAGCTCTAATGTACCAGCAGCTGGAATCTGAAGGCGTGAGTCTCCATCTTAGAGCATCACTCTTCCTCACACCACAAATCTGGTGCCTGTCTCTTGCTTACCAATGTCTAAGGTCCCCACTGCCTGCTGCAGAGAAAACACACTCCTTTGCTTAGCCCACAATTCTCTATTTCACTTGACCCCTGCCCACCTCTCCAACCTAACTGGCTTACTTCCTAGTCTACTTGAGGCTGCAATCACACTGAGGAACTCACAATTCCAAACATACAAGAGGCTCTCTCTTAACACGGCACTTAGACACGTGCTGTTCCACCTTCCCTCGTGCTGTTCCACCTTTCCTCAGACTATTTTTCAGCCTTCTGGCATCAGCAAACCTTATAAAATTTTTTTGATTTCAGTGTAGTTCTCTCCTCTTCAAATAAACATGTCTGCCTTCATTCTTTAGGTGACTCTTTTTTTGGCTGAAAGTTTCCAGTGTTATCATTACCATGTCCAAATAACTCCAACTGTTCTCCACTGGGTTCTCACCCCTGGACTCTGAGCTTCTGGAAGCAGGGTGGAGCCTGATTTGTCTCTGAGACTCCAATTTCCATCCAAAGATGCAGCACATAAGAGGTTCCAAGGATCGTGAATCACATGAACAAGTGATATTCTTACTCTCTGCAGACCTGGAAAGCTGGCAGAGTCATTCCATGATGAAACATTTGTAGAGTCATAGGCCTTGTCAGTCTCATCTCCACGGGGACACATATCAACACATCATCTTTCATACTATAAATATACAGTCGGTCCTCTGTATCTGTGGGATTTACAGGTGTTTATTGAACCAAATATAAATCAAAAATATTCAGAGAAAAAATCCACAAAGTTTCAAAAAGCAAAACTATGTTGAATGGACACAAATGAAGCTGTGTGTAGGCTGTATCAGGAATTATAAATAATCAAGGGATGATTTCATGTACACAGGAGGATGTGCATGGGTTATTTGCAAATGCTGTGCCATTTCATGTAAGAGGCTTGAGCATCTGCAGATTGTGCTATCTGAGTGGAGATCCTGAAACCAATCACCCACGAATAGTGAGGGATGACTGTATATAATTTTTATTTCTCAATTTTAAATATAAAACATAAAAAAATTACAATAACAAGATAAAATAAACAAGTGTTTTATAGTGTGAGAATACTTTTAGATATATTTTTCTCCATGTGTAACCCTTGGGCCCATGTTATTTATTGAGAAGACATTCTATTCCACCTTAAACCACATGGCAGCCTTTGTCAACTATAAAGGGACTGTGTGTACACGGATGTATTTTAGACACTGTTTTCTGCTCAGTGGCTCTCTCTCTGTCCACTCTCTTGAGAATGCTGCATTTTATGCAGCCTTATACAACCCCTAAAATTTGGTAGCTGGAGTCCTCTAGTTATTTATTATAGGCTATTTGCTATGCTTTTTTTATTTTTCTTGAGGCAGAGTCTCGCTCTGTTGCCCAGGCTGGAGTGCAGTGGCACGATCTCGGCTCACTGCAACTTCCGCCTCCCAGGTTCAAGGGATTCCGTGGCTCAGCCTCTTGAATAGCTGGCATTACAAGTGCCTGCTACCAGGCATGGCTAATTTTTGTATTTTTAGCAGAGACATGGTTTCACTATATTGGCCAGGCTGGTCTCAAACTCCTGACCTCGGTTGATCACTCACTTCGGCTTCCAAAGTGCTGGGGAAATTGATTTTCTATAGCATTATGTTACTGGATATTTCTGTAAAATTTAAAATGAGGGAGGCAGAGAGACAGAGAGAGAGCAAACCATGAGTTGGAACTCTGGAATCTTGGGACATGAGACAAATTCTAGATAAATCTACAAAAATCCAGAATTTACATGTTGTGATTTTTGCTGATAAAGTACAATTCTAAGATTGTAAATAATTGCATAATCCTTCCCTGGGAGTTTAAATCATTTGAACTGGTTCTGCTGTAATACTAGAAATACAATCATGAAAAATTCTAATGGTTTATTAGTCACAATTGCTCTGAAAACCTTAATAATACCTATTAGATATTTTGCATATTACACAGGAAGAAGAGTTTGAATCTCAGATAAAAGCAAAAAAAATACATGAAAAGTCTTTCATGTTAGCACAGATTTTAGGCATCTCGTGTTCGGGAGGTTGGATCTAAGACGTGTTTTGAGTTGGTCATAGTGAAGGACGCGAGGTGTCAATTCTAGTGAGAGCAATTTCCAGGAAGCCATGTTCCGCTCTTGAGCGAGCACCCACTGGGCCTCACGCAAGGTAGAAAGAGCCTGCGTACGTCACCCTCCCATGATGTGGTCAACATGTAAACTGCATGGGCAGGGCGCCAAATAACATCCTGTGCGCTGCTGAGCTGAGCTGGGGCGCGGCCGCCTGTCTGCACCGGCAGCACCATGTTGCTCATGGTCGTCAGCATGGCGTGTGTTGGTGAGTCCTGGAAGGGAATCGAGGGAGGGAGTGCGGGGATGGAGATCTGGACCTGGAGGTAAAGATATGGGCCTAGAGGTGGAGTTATGGGCCTGGAGGTGGAGTTATGGGCCTGAAGTGGAGATCTGGGCCTGGAGTGGAGATCTGGGCCTGGAGTGGAGATAGGGGCCTGGGGTGGAGATATGTGCCTGGAGTGGAGATCTGGGCCTGGAGTGGAGATATGGGCCTGGGGTGGAGATATGTGCCTGGGGTGGAGATATGGGCCTGGAGGGGAGATATGGATGGGCCTGGAGGGGAGATGTGGGCCTAGAGGTGGAGTGATGGGCCTAGAAGTGGAGCGATGGGCCTGGAGTGGAGATATGGGCCTGGAGGTGGAGTTATGGGCCTGCAGTAGAGATATGGGCCTGAAGTGGAGATATGGGCCTGGAGTGGAGATATGGGCCTAGAGGTGGAGTTATGGGCCCGGAGGTGGAGTTAAGGGCATGAAGTGGAGATCTGGGCCTGGAGTGGAGATATGATCCTGGAGTGGAGATATGGGCCTGGGGTGGAGATACGGGCCTGGAGCAGACATACAAGCCTGGAAAGGAGATATGGGCCTGGAGAGGAGATAGAAGCCTGGAGTGGAAATATGGGCCTGGAGTGGAGATATGAGCCTGGAGTGGATATATGAGCCTGGAGTTGAGATAGGAGCCTGGAGTGGAGATATGGGCCTGGAGTGGACTTATCAGCCTGGAGAGGAGATATGGGTCTGGAGTGGAGATACGGACCTGGAGTGGAGATCTGGGCCTGTTGTGTAGATCTAGGCCTGGAGGTAGAGATCTGGGCCTGGAGGCTGAGTCTCTGCACAGCCGAGATCCTTGTTCCTGGGGGCAGGTAGGCAGCGAGGGTGAGTTTACCTTCAGCCCAGCAAGGGCCTGGCTGCCAAGACGCACAGCCCAGTGGGGGCAGCAGGGTGCCCTGGTTTGCCTGCAGATGGATGGTCCATCATGATCTTTCTTTCTAGGGTTCTTCTTGGTCCAGAGGGCCGGTCCACACGTGGGTGAGTCCTTCCCCAAACCTTAGGGTGTCATCTCCCCACATAAGAGGATTTTCCTGAAATGGGAGGGAAGTCCTGTCGGGGAGTCTCTCATAAACTAGGAAGAGGGGACCCTCGGATGCTCGGCCCACATTTCTGACCTTGCCCTCCCCGGCCTTTCTTTCCCTTTCCTGAGTCAAGCTCTGTGAAGACTGGGGTGAGACTAGGGTGCTCCAAGATGGGTGTGCAGGGAGGAAGTGGTGTCAGCAGCAGAGAAAGAGAGGGAAGCAGTGCTAGGAACAGCAGGTCCTCTGAGGACAAAGGTGTAACTCACACCCTCCAGCGTTTCCGTGATGGTAGGGGCTGCAGTGTGGCTGTGGTCTTTCTACCAGAAAAGGTGAGGAAACCACAGCCATGGCCCTGACATTCCAAATCCTCTGATGGGGGCTCAGTTCATCAATTGGCTGATATTCCATTCACATAGGACTTGCCCTCCATGCCGTGTCTACTTTGTGTTGTTTTATATGAGTAATTTTGCAGTATTAAAATCTAGTAAGAGTTGCTTCTCCAGCACTTGCTCAAAGTTCTCAGCTGACACTTGTTGTAGGGAGACGCCATGTCTATGCAGGATGGGTCCTTCCTGTAGCCCTGGGCACCCAGGTGTGGTAGGAGCCTTAGAAAGTGGAAATGGGGAGAATCTTCTGGGCACTGGGAGTGAGGGGCGGCTCCACATCCTCCTCTCTAAGGCAGTGCCTCCTTCTCCCCCAGGTGGTCAGGACAAGCCCTTCCTGTCTGCCTGGCCCAGCGCTGTGGTGCCTCGAGGAGGACACGTGACTCTTCGGTGTCACTATCGTCATAGGTTTAACAATTTCATGCTATACAAAGAAGACAGAATCCACGTTCCCATCTTCCATGGCAGATTATTCCAGGAGAGCTTCAACATGAGCCCTGTGACCACAGCACATGCAGGGAACTACACATGTCGGGGTTCACACCCACACTCCCCCACTGGGTGGTCGGCACCCAGCAACCCCGTGGTGATCATGGTCACAGGTCAGAGGCTTTCCGTCTGGGCTTCTCACTGTCCCACCTCCTGAATCCCAGAGCTTCTGGTGGGGGTGTCCGTCAGGGTCCCATCACCCAGGCCCTGACTGTATTTGGGGTCAAGGGAGATTGAATACAGGGGAAATGGGTGCTGTGGTGGGAAGAATCACTGTCCCCAATGATGGCTACATTGTAATCCCTGGAGCCTGTGACTATTTATGTTACAGGGCAGGGGACTGAAGGGGAAGGTGGAGCTCAGGTTGTTGATGAGTTGACCTTGAGATGGGGAGACAGCCTGGACTGTCCCACTGGGCTCAGTGTAATCACAAGGGTCCACATGAGAGGTGGAGGAAGAGGGGAGTGGGGATTAGAGCAGTGTAGTGGGAAGGAGACGCTATCAGCCACTGCGGGCTTTGAAGGTGGAGGAAGACCACTAGTCACAGAATGCAGGTGGCCTCTAAGGGCTGGAGAAGTCAAGAGAACTGATTCGCTGATTCTCCAGAGGGAACGCAGCCCTGTAGACACCTTGATTTCAGCACAGGGAGAACTGGATCCAATTTCTGTCTCCAGAAGTGGAAGGGGTCAGTGTGTTCTCTCCCGCTGCCATGTTTGTGGTAATTTTCTGCAGCAGCAACAGGAAACCAACACAGGAACCCAGGTCAAGGACAAGTTAGGAAACCAAACAAGGATAGCCAGATGTGGTGGTGGGCGCGAGTAATCCAACGACTGGGGAGGCTGAGGCAAGAGAATCACTTGAACTGGGGATTTGTTCAAAAGAGATTGATTCAGGCTGCTAAGAGCCTGGACATGCAGCCTCTCCTCTTCCACCCCCACATAGACAGCAGGAAAGAGATTAGTGGGAAACAGATACAACAGCCCAAGAGATGAGGCTGTCTTCACAGTGGCAAGGGAGTCAGGGGCTACTGGAGACAGAGGGACAGAGAAGAGGGAGGAAGACAGATGGAGGCACCTGCACCAGGGGATATGGGCACAGAAAAGACACGGAGATGCAGAGAGGGAGGAGAGAGACAGACACGGGGAGGGGAACCCTCACTCATTCCAGGTGCCATGGATGGGATGATAAAGAGAGATGCCTTCTAAACTCACAACTTCTCTTTCTAGGAAACCACAGAAAACCTTCCCTCCTGGCCCACCCAGGTCCCCTGGTGAAATCAGGAGAGAGAGTCATCCTGCAATGTTGGTCAGATATCATGTTTGAGCACTTCTTTCTGCACAAAGAGGGGATCTCTAAGGACCCCTCACGCCTCGTTGGACAGATCCATGATGGGGTCTCCAAGGCCAATTTCTCCATCGGTCCCATGATGCTTGCCCTTGCAGGGACCTACAGATGCTACGGTTCTGTTACTCACACCCCCTATCAGTTGTCAGCTCCCAGTGATCCCCTGGACATCGTGGTCACAGGTGAGAGTGTCTAGACATTGTTCTCATTGTCACTGGGACACAGAGTGAATGATCCAGGACTTGGAACCCCCAGGTGGTCATGAGGAAGATAAGTGTGGGATTCTTATGGAAAGAGAGTGACTTGGTGAGGTCTGTACCAACAGAGACAGAGAAACAGGAGACATAAGTACAGAACAGGTGTCATAACAGAGGACAGACACAGGGGCCATACAGGGAGGTAGAAAAGAGAGAAAGAGGTAAAGGAGACACTCAGACAGACAGACATGTCCCAGAGAGAGGTGTCCTTCCATGCTGACTTTGCTCAGAGACCTGGCACAGGTTAGAAGTTTCATTTCTGTTTTACCTCCACAAAGTGTTCCTACCAGAAGAACCCAAGGACACCCATATTTCTGACCTGAGTTGGGCCCTGTGGCCTCAGGCCTTGTGCCACCTACAGATGCCGTGTTTATTCTGACACCTCTGCCTTCCATGCAATGGAGAGTAATCATCCCAGGATATCATGGCCCCTGAACACCAACCCCTGTATGCTGTGTGAACTTGGGGTCCCCAGACTGGATTCTGAGGCTCATATTCCAAATAATCCCACATATGATAGGATCGCTGAGAGACACAGAGAAAAATCAGGGACACCAAAAAACAAAGACATAAACACACACAAAATGAGCCAGAAGAAGGAGATTAAGAGATTCACAGACACATAAAAAGAAAGAAAAGAGGGCAGAATGGAGAGAATGATGGAAAGGAGGAGAGAAAAGCCCCAAAATCAGAACCCTGAGGGAGGGACACAAAGACAGAGAAAGATAAATATGTGGGGATGGATTGCAGAGATTCCAAATAGAACTAGAGAGACTGAGAGGCAGAGAAAGACAAGGAGACGGAGAGAGAGAGATGATAGATGGATAGATAGACGTAGATAGATGATAAATAGGTAGATGATAGATAATGGATTGGTTATAGATACATAGATGATGACTGATAGATGATACATAGAGATGACGATGATGATGATAGACACATAGATATATACATAGATGATACATAAATAGAGACAGAGAGGCAGACAGAGAGGTAATAGAGAGAGAGATAGATGATACATATATAGATAATAGATGATTGATGGATAGATAGACAGATAGACAATTGATAGAGAGATAGATAAGTGATACATAAATATAGATGATAGATAATTTGTAGATAGACACAAAATAGATAAATAGATAGAAATGTGCAGAAAGTTATGAACAAGACAGAAAGTGAGAGACTCAAAATTAAAGAAAAAGGAAGATCAAGTCAACCAATCCAAGGAGGGTCAGAGAGAATAAAACAATCCAAAAAGGGAAAACATACCTCAGGGTGGGGAAGTGAGGTCATAGACCTAGAGAGACAGAAAAGGTAGAAGGAGGAAACAGATATGAAGAGAGATGGGGTGGAGGGTGAGAGAGAGAGAGAGAGCATTAGGTCATAGAGCAGGGGAGTGAGTTCTCAGCTCAGGTATGAGGGGAGCTATGACAAGGAAGAACCTCCCTGAGGAAACTGCCTCTTCTCCTTCCAGGTCCATATGAGAAACCTTCTCTCTCAGCCCAGCCGGGCCCCAAGGTTCAGGCAGGAGAGAGCGTGACCTTGTCCTGCAGCTCCCGGAGCTCCTATGACATGTACCATCTATCCAGGGAGGGGGGAGCCCATGAACGTAGGCTCCCTGCAGTGCGCAAGGTCAACAGAACATTCCAGGCAGATTTCCCTCTGGGCCCTGCCACCCACGGAGGGACCTACAGATGCTTCGGCTCTTTCCGTCACTCTCCCTACGAGTGGTCAGACCCGAGTGACCCACTGCTTGTTTCTGTCACAGGTGAGAAAAGCCCATATCTCTCTCATGTCCTATGATCCTAAATCCTTAGCTAAGGAGCTTCCTGCTGATGATGGAGAAAAGCATGGACAGATGCAGAGAGAAGACACAGCAGGTGTGAGGGCGGAGTCAGGGCGCAGGATGGCAGACAGGGCACCTCCAAACCCTCCTTCATGGCCTGCATGGAGGCCTCCGATCAGGGCTCCAGGCACCCAGGCAGATGGAGAAAGCGGTCAGGACAGACCCAGAGAAGGGGAGACTGGGCTTAGTTTGGGGAGATCAGAGGTTCCCTCAGCCCCTCAATCTTATCCATTTCCCAGAAGCCCATCATGGCCTCTCACCCACACAGAGAGATATCATCACCAGCAACCCCTACACCCTTTTCTTTTCATTTTCAAAAATATTTATTGAGGTTAAATGTAACTATATAATTTACCACCTTTACCATTTTTAAAAGTAAAATCTAGTGGTCATAAATACCTTTATATGCTGGGTGTGGTGGTTCACGGTTGTAATCTCGGCGCTTTGAGAGGCCAAGGAAGGTGGATCATTTAAGATCAGGAACTCGAGATCACCCTGGCCAACATGTGGGAAATTCATCTTTACTAAACAGACAAGAAAAATTAGCCGAGCATGCTGGCATGCACCTGTAGTCCTAGCTACTTGGGAGGCTGAGGCAGGAGAAGCACTTAAAGCCAGGAGGCAGAGGTTGCACTGAGCCGAGATCATGCCACTGCACTGCAGCCTGGGAGACAGAGAGAGACTCTGTTTCTAAATAAATAAATACATCTATATTCTTTTTTTTGTTACCCTCCACCCTTCCCTTCCTGGCCTCTGGTGTCCACCATTGTATTCTCCACCTTCATGAGATCCACCTTTTATCTCCTGCATGTGGGTGAGAAATGGGAATCTTTGTAATGACCTCCAGTTCCATCCATGTGGCTGCAAATGACAGGATGTTATTGTTTCTATGGATGAGTAGTCTCCACTGTGTGTGTGTACCACAGTTCTCTATCCATTCACCCACTGATGGGCAGGTAGGTTGACTCCACATCTTGGCTACTGTGAACAGTGCTGGAACAGTCATATGAGTGCAGATATCACTTCGATACACTGATGTCCTTTCCTTTGGATATAAACCCAGTAGTGAAATTGCTGGACACTATGAAAGTTCTCTTTTTTTTTTTTTCTTTTTTGAGAAAGAGTTTCCCTCCTTAGTCCAAGCTGGAGTCTAAGTGGTGAGATCTTGGCTCATTGCAACCTGTGCCTCCTAGGTTCAAATGATTGTCCTGACTCAGCCTCCCTAGTAGCTGTGATTACAGGTGCACGCCACCATGCCTGGCTAATTTTTGTATTTTTTTTAGCACAGACGGGATATCCCAATTTTGGGCAGGCTGCTCTCAAACTCCTGACCTCAAGTGAGGTGCCTGCCTCGGTTTCCCAAAGTGCTGAAGTTACAGGCATAAGCCACTATGCCCAGCCTCCTTTTAGTTTTTTAAAGAATTTCCATACTTTTCTCCATAATAGTTGTACTAATTTACATTCCTACCAACAGGGTACCAGGGTTCTCCTTTCTCTACCATCTTGCCAGCATTTGTTTTGCCTGTCTTGCAGTAAAAGCCATTTTACTTTACTTTATTTTATTTATTTATTTATGTTGAGATGGAGTTTCACTCATAGTCTCCCAGGCTGGAGTGCAAGGGTGTGATCTCAGCTCACTGCAACCTCCGCCTCCCGCGTTCAACTGATTCTCCTGCCTCAGCCTCCAAAGTAGCTGGGATTACAGGCATGTGCCACCACGCCTAGCTAATTTTTGTATGTTTAGTAGAGAGGGAGTTTCTCCATGATGGTCAGGCTGGTCTCCCGACCTCAGGTGATCCGCCCACCTCCGCCTCCTGAAGTGCCGGAATTACAGGCGTGAGCCACCGGCCTAAAAGGCATTTTAATGGGATGAGATGAAAACTCATCGCGATTGTAATTTACATTTCTCTGATGATGAGTGATGCCGAGTACTTTTTCATATACGTGATCGCCATTTCTATGTTTTGTTTGTGGAGAAATGTCTCCTCATGTCTTTTGCTCGTTTTTTAATTAAATTGTTTTATTGAGTTGTTTGAGCTTCTTATATTTCCAGTTATTAATCCCGTCTCAGATGAATAGTTTGCAAATATTTGCTCCTATTTTGTCGGTTGTCTCTTCACTTTCTTGGTTTATCTTTTGTGGTGCAGAAGTTGCTTGGTTTGATGTAATCCTAATGGTCTATTTTTTGCTTTGATTACTTGTGTTTTGAAGGTTTTAAACAAAATGTCTTTCGTCAGACAAATGTCTTCCCCATTATTTTCTTCTACATGTTTCATAGGTTCAGGCCTTAGACTCATGTTTTTAATCCATTTTCATTTGATTTTTGTGTATGGTGACAGGTATAGATGCAGTTTTATTCCTCTGCATGTAGATATCCAGTTTTCCCCACACCATTTATTGAAAAGACTGTCCTTTCCTGATTGTAAGTTCTCGGCACCTTTGTCAAAGTCCATTAAATGGGCTGGGTATGGTGGCTCACACCTGCAATTCCAGCACTTTGGGAGGCCGAGGCGGGTGGATCACCTGAAGCCAGGAGTTCAAGATCAGGCTGGCCAACAGAGTGAAACCTCGTCTCTACTAAAAATACAAAAATTAGCTGAGCATGGTGACCAGTGCCTGTAATACCACTACTCGGGTGTTTGAGGCAAGAGAATTGCTTGAATCCAGGAAGTGGAGGTTGCATTGAGCTGAGATTGCACCTCTGCACTCCAGCCTGCATGACAGAGCAAGATTCTAACACACACACACACAAAAAAAGCCATTGGATGTAAATGCATGGATTATATCTGTGTTCTCCATTCTGTTTCATTTTTTATGTGCCTTTCTTTATGCCAATGTCATGCTGTTTTGCTTACTACAGCTCTGTAACATATTTCTAAGTCAGGTAGTGTGATGCTCCTGTTTTCTCTTTATACCTTCAAGTCTCAAGACAGTGGGCATCGCACACAAAAATTATGGAGAAGAGGATCCCAAGACTCCCAGGGTCCAACATTAGATAACAGAGTGTTGGCCATGAACCAACCTCAAAGATTTCCATTGAGTAGAGGACAAGCACCCTCATTTCCTCACATCTCTCCTGTCCCATGTTCTAGGAAACCCTTCAAGTAGTTGGCCTTCACCCACAGAACCAAGCTCCAAATCTGGTGAGTAAAGGACCCCTCTTATCTCTGCTTTTGGAAACCTGGGGAGGTGGAAGCCTTGGATGCAAGTGTTGGCTCAAACCTCCCAGCTCTGTGAATGAGGGCCTGTCTTCCACCATCTCTGAACTCCAGACACTCCAACAGTGAAAGGGATCTAGGGCCACCAAAGGGCTCAGCGAAGTCTCTTAACCTTTAATGTCCTGCAGGTGAGACCTCCTACAAGCTAGAAGAATGATTGCCAATCTGACATCCTTCTCAGGAAACATGCAGTGTTTTTTCTTCCTGCATTCCTAACTGGAGGATAAATTCCTGGGGACTTGAGAGAGGGAAGGGAAGGGAACATCTGATGAGGGCGAGGTGTTTTAGAGAAGTTCCACTTGCCAAGGAATGAATTACTGTTGGTCATGAAGCAACCCTGGCTGACTCAGCAGAGCAAGAGCCTTGCCGTAACAGAGAACAGAGCTCATGCACGCACACTTCGACTCACTGACTCATTCAGCCACGGCCCCATGCTCAGGCTGTGCAGTTGGAATCCTTTCCTATTGTTGCCATAACAAATTTCCACAAGATTCGTGGGTGAAAACAAAACGGTTTTTTAATTATCTTACAGTGCTGTAGCTCAAAGTAGGAAGTGCATCTTACTGGGCTAAAATCAAGGTGACAGCAAGGCTGCCTTCCCTCTGAGGATTCCAGGCAAGAATCTGCTTCTCACTTGTCCCAGCTTCTAAAGGCTCCCAGTTCCTTGGCTCCTGGTCCCCTTCCTCCTTCCTCAAAGCCCACAAAGACTGGTCACATCTCACATGGCATCACTCAGACCCTTCTTCCTTACCACACCTCTTTCTCTGAATGCTGCTCTCCCTTCTTCCTTATCTTTTGAAAACTTGGGGATTCTATTGGGTTCACCAAGATGAAAATCCATCATAATCTCCCGGAAATCATTCAGGATACCCTTGTTTTCAGTTCAGCTGACTAGCAACCGTAATTCCATCTGCAATCTTCATTCCTTCTTTCCATGTAAAATAAGATATTCACAAGCTATGGAGGCTAGGACAGGGACATTTTGGGGTGGGACAGCATTCTCCTGCCTTCCACGAACGGTGAACAAGATGCATTTGGCCTCTGCTCTTGGGACACTGATATTGCAGATGGTTAAATGGGAGGACAGAAAATGAATGCACAAGTGGACCAATAAATGAATGATCCATTGGGAAGCATCTGTGCATGAAATCTATTTGTTTGTTCGTTCATTTATTTATTGAGACAGAGTCTCCCTCTGTCTTCCAGGCTACAGTGCAGTGTCACGATCTTGGCTCACTGCAACCTGCGTCTCCTGGATCCAAGTGATTCTCCTGCCTCACCCTCTCGAGTAGCTGGGATTACAGGCAACTGCCACCATGCCCGGCTAATTCTTTTTGTATATTTTTTGTAGAGAGGATGTTTCACCATGTTGGCCAAGCTTGTCTGAAACTCCCAACCTCAAGTGATCCGACCATCTCAGCAACCCAAAGTACTGGGATTACAGGCGTGAGCCACTTTGCCCAGCCAGAATTCAAAATAAATAATAGATAATGCTGAGTGTATAATTTTGGGTGACAGAGAAGGTCTCACTAATCAGATATTTGTGACATTAATGAAAAACACGGATTGAACCCCTGAAAGATTGGCGGAAGGATTTTCCACACACAGCTGTCAGCCGTGAAGGCAGAAAGCTGAAAACAATCTGATGTGGAAGGAAGAGGCTCTGCCTGAAATGCTGGGAATGAGGTGGGGAGAATGACAAGACGACTGTGGAGAGACGGAGAGCACACTGGGTACACAGGAAACTAAGGAGCAACAAGGAGTGTGTGTTTGACACTCACAGCCATTGGATTCACCTCGGGGTAGCCAGGAATCCCTACATGATTAATAGTGACTGACATGAAAATAAGGGAGGCCCAGGTGCGTAACTGGAATCTAGGAGACAGTGGAAAAGGCAATTGCCGCCCCACTGGTGAAATGTGGTGCTGATTTAGACCCTAAGTGGATGAAGCAGATGGATATAAGCTATGTTTGGGAGGTAGAATCATTTGCAGGGAGGGCTTGCTGGGTTTGAGTTTCCTAGTTGTTTAATCCTTGCTAAATTAATTTCTTTCTGAGATTTATTCCTCCTACACATAAATCAATACCTGCCAAAGGAGTGACAGATATATGAGGGGTGGTGGAAATGAAGGGACCTATTATAGCATAGTATACAAGTCTGTGAACGGTGGCTCACTCCTGTAACCCAGCACTGCAGGAGGCTAAGGCCAGTGGATTCCAAGAAGTCAGGAGTTCGAGACCAGCCTGGCCAACATGGAGAAACCCTATCTCTACATGGTGAAACCCTATCTCTCCTAAAAATACAAAAATTAGCCGAGCATGGTGGTGCATCCCTGTAATCCCAGCTCCTGCTCTGGAGGATGAAGCAGGAGAATGACTTCAACCCAGGAGGTGGAGGTTGCAGTGAGTGGAGATCGCATCACTGCACTCCAGCCTGGGTGACACAAGGAGACTCCATCTCAAAAAATAAAAATAAGAAATGCATAAATATAATAAAACACACACGAATGACAAAGGCACCTGAATTCCCATCATCATTTTTCTATTTCTCTATAATTACTTCTTTGATCCTTTATCTTATCCATTAGGCAATCAGCCTAAAACCTCTTCCGTATTTGGCTTTCTGTGAGCATGAGATCATATAGAAAATGTGAAAGCCCGCTGAATCCTCCAGCACAAATCCTGGAATAGAGAAAGTGCTCTGGTCATCACAAAAAAAACTTGCCCCCTCACCCAAATCCCCCATCTCACCCCTACTTCCAATCACCTGTGGAGATACAGATAGATCATGGGGAGGTAAATGCTAATACTCCTTGGAGTGAGTCCAGATCTTGGAATCAGAGATCAGTGCCAGCACTAGCTCCTGCTCCCCTTTCCTACTAATTCACAGGAGGACAGGTGGTATTGAAGCAATAGATAGTCGAGGGGGTGGTCCTTCCCCCAGCCTCTGAGGTAGAACAGCAGCCTAACATGTGTCTCCCGAGATCACAAAGAGTAGCACATTTCACACGGGCTTCAACACTATTTTCTGGCTGTTTGACATAAGAGAATTCTACTTCGCTTTTTTTATATTGATTTCACTTTTGTTTCCTTTTCTTGGAGAATGCAAGTTGTTTAACTCAAGAATGCCGTGGATGTAGAAATCCTAAAGCACATTCGCTGTGTATCAATCCCAGTCCAGTCTTCCCAGAGAAGACTCTAAACACCTCCTGGACTGCACCTGGGCCTATGCCAATTCCTATCACTCACCGTCACTCCAGGGAGACAGAACACACAGAGAATACGTTACATAGGCAGGTTCATTACTAACAGATAAGCAGCGAGTGACAACAGAAGCCTACATTTCAATGTGAGCCAGTTCCCCAAGGCTCAGAAAAGCTGCTCGAGACATGTGGAGTCACCCCATTTGCAGTGTAGCTGGGGGAAGCCAGAAAGCAGCCCAGCCTGGGTTTTGTACCCTGGAGCCACAGGAAGCACTCAGCTAAAGCACTGCATGACGTCCTCCTCCAGGAAGAACAGGAAGACAGCCCAGGCTGTTCTGGGACGATCCTCCTGATCTCAGGACTTTGCTGTCTTAGTCCATTTTTGTTGCTCTAAAGGAACACTTGAGCCTGGGTAACTTCTAAAGAAGAGATTGGTTTGCCTCACCATTCTGCAGGCTGTACTGGAAGCATGGCACCAGCATCTATTTCTTATGATGGCCTCAGGCCGCTCCCACTCTGGCAGAAGGGAAGGAGGGTCTGTCTGTGCAGAGACCACAGAGATCACACGGCAAGAGAGGGAGCAAGGGGGAGGGGGAGCAATGGAGCTTCCAAGCTCTTTTTAACAACCAGCTCTCCAGGAACTAATAGAGAGGGAACTTGCTAACCCCGTCTCCTTGGGACAGCATTGATCTGTTCATGATGGATCCACCTCCATGACCCAAACACCTCCCAAGAGGCCCAACCTCCCACACTGGGGGTTAAATTTCAATGTGAGGTTTGAAGGGGTCAAACATCTCAACTAAAGTAGTTGTATCCTCAGCACGTTCCATGGTTACTATGAGAGCTATAACTGAGAAAGCAGGAGGAAGCTAGGTCTCCCGCCATCTGGGTGCTTGTCCGAAAGAGATGCTGTAAGTGGTTACCTGTCAATCAAGAAATGCAAGACAATTCATATAGAGAAACTGCTATGATTAGCTTCTTACTGGTGTCTCCTCTTCTTCCAGGTAACCCCAGACACCTGCACATTCTGATTGGGACCTCAGTGGTCATCATCCTCTTCATCCTCCTCCTCTTCTTTCTCCTTCATCTCTGGTGCTCCAACAAAAAAAGTAAGTCTCACGGGGCACAGGCCAGAGAGCTCAGGGCCATGTGGGGAAGCAGGATGGGAGCACACAGCTGTGTGTTCCTCACTGGCAGGATGGTCCCTGGCCCAAGACAGGAGCCACAGAGGCAGGACTTTCTAGAGAGAGCACCAGACTCCCTGCCCCTGCCTTCAGCTCACAGACCGTTGCCTGATTCTGAACTGTATCCTCATGTCCCCTGCAGCCACTCACATCCAGGAGAAGGTTCCATGAGAGGCAGAAAGTGGGAGACAGAATCAATGGGATGGGAACTCAGAGCTATTCATGGGATGGGTCCTTGAGCTCAGAGAGATAGAATGTCTGAGTCTGCTGTTGGCAACTGAGGGACCTCAGGCACCTATGGCCTCCCCCTGTTTGTTGGTATCTGCTTATGAAATGAGGACCCAGAAGTGCCCTCCGAGCTCTTTTGTTGACTTCCGTCTCCTACAGATGCTGCTGTAATGGACCAAGAGCCTGCAGGGAACAGAACAGCCAACAGCGAGGTAGGTGCTCCTCGGCCCAGCCTCGTGGCTAGTGTTATTCCCAAACAGTCCTGGAAAACGTGAGCACCCTCCCTCACTCAGCATTTCCCTCCCTCACTCAGCATTTCCCTCTCTCCAGGACTCTGATGAACAAGACCCTGAGGAGGTGACATACGCACAGTTGGATCACTGCGTTTTCACACAGAGAAAAATCACTCGCCCTTCTCAGAGGCCCAAGACACCCCCTACAGATACCATCTTGTACACGGAACTTCCAAATGCTAAGCCCAGATCCAAAGTTGTCTCCTGCCCATGAGCACCACAGTCAGGCCTTGAGGACGTCTTCTAGGGAGACAACAGCCCTGTCTCAAAACCGAGTTGCCAGCTCCCATGTACCAGCAGCTGGAATCTGAAGGCGTGAGTCTTCATCTTAGGGCATCGCTCCTCCTCACGCCACAAATCTGGTGCCTCTCTCTTGCTTACAAATGTCTAGGTCCCCACTGCCTGCTGGAAAGAAAACACACTCCTTTGCTTAGCCCACAGTTCTCCATTTCACTTGACCCCTGCCCACCTCTCCAACCTAACTGGCTTACTTCCTAGTCTACTTGAGGCTGCAATCACACTGAGGAACTCACAATTCCAAACATACAAGAGGCTCCCTCTTGACGTGGCACTTACCCACGTGCTGTTCCACCTTCCCTCATGCTGTTTCACCTTTCTTCGGACTATTTTCCAGCCTTCTGTCAGCAGTGAAACTTATAAAATTTTTTGTGATTTCAATGTAGCTGTCTCCTCTTCAAATAAACATGTCTGCCCTCATTGCTTCAGGTAATGTGACACTGTATTCGCTGAAAGAAACCGCTGTTATCATTACCATGTCCACATAACCCCATCTGTTCTCCGCTGGGTTCTCACCCCTGGATTCTGAGCTTCTGGAAGCAGGGTGGAGCCTCATTTGTCTCTGGGACTCCAATTTCCATCCAAAGATGCAGCACATAGGAGGTTCCAAGGATCGTGAATCACATGAACAAGTGATATTCTTACTCTCTGCAACCTGGAAAGCTGGCAGAGTCATTCCACGATGAAACATTTGTAGAGTCATAAGCCTTGCTAGTCTCATCTCCACGGGGACACATATCAACACATCATATTTCATACTATAAATATACAGTCGCTCCTCCATATCTGTGGGGTTTACAGGTGTTTATTGAACCAAGTGTAAATCAAAAATATTCAGAGAAAATGTCCACAAAGTTTCAAAATGCAAAACTATGTTGAATGGACACAAATGAGGCAGTGTGTAGGCTGTATCAGGAATTATAAGTAATCAAGAGATGATTTCATGTATACAGGAGGATGTGCATGGGTTATATCCAAATGCTGTGTCATTTTATGTAAGAGGCTTGAGCATCTGCAGATTTTGGTACCTGAGTGGAGATCCTGAAACCAATCACCCACGAATAGTAAAGGATGACCGTATATGACTTTTATTTCTCAATTTTAAATATAAATCATAAAAAATGTACAATAACTAGATAAAAAGTAAGAAGTGTTTTTATAGTGTGAGAATAAGTTTAGATTTATTTTTTCCTACGTGTAACCCTTTGGTTTAATATTATTTATTAAGAAGACATTCTATGCCACCTTAAACCACACGGCAGCCTTTGTCAACTCTAAAGGGACTGTGTGTACACGGATGTATTTTAGACACTGTTTCTGCTAAGGGGCTCTCTGTGTCCACACTCTTGAGGATGCTGCACTTCATGTAGCCTTATAAAACCCTTTAAATTTAGTAGCCAGAGCCCTCTAATTTGTTATTATAGGCTACTTGCTATTTTTTTTTCTTGAGGCGGAGTCTTGCTCTGTCGCCCAGGCGGGACTGTAGTGGAGCAATCTCAGCTCACTGCAACTTCCGCCTCCCAGGTTCAGGCGATTCTCGTGCCTCAGCCTCTTGAGTAGCTGGCGTTACAGGTGCCTGCCACCAGGCACGGCTAATTTTTGGATTTTTAGCAGAGACACGGTTTCACTATGTTGGCCAGGCTGCTCTCAATCTCCTCATCTCAGTTGATCCGCCCACCTCGGCTTCCCGACCTGCTGGGGGAAACTTGATTTTCTATAGCATTATGTTACTGGATATTTCTGTAAAATTTAAAATGAGGGAGGCAGAGAGACAGAGAGAGAGCAAACTCCAAAGTTGGGACTCTGAAATCTTGAGTCATGAGACAAATTATAGATAAAACTACAAAAATCCAGAATTTACATGTGTGGTTTTTGCTGATAAAGTACAATTCTAAGATTGTAAATAATTGCATAATCCTTCCCTGGGAATTTAAATCATTTGAACTGGTTCTGCTGTAATACTAGAAATACAAGCATGAACAATTCTAATGGTTTATTAGTCACAATGACTCTGAAAACACTAATAATACCTATTAGATATTTTGCATATTACACAGGAAGAAGAGTTCGAATCTCAGATAAAAACAATAAAAATTCATGAAAAGTCTTTCATGTTAGCACAGATTTTAGGCATCTCATGTTTGGGAGGTTGGATCTAAGACATGTTTTGAGTTGGTCATAGTGAAGGACGCGAGGTGTCAATTCTAGTGAGAGCAATTTCCAGGAAGCCATGTTCCGCTCTTGAGCGAGCACCCACTGGGCCTCATGCAAGGTAGAAAAAGCCTGCGTACGTCACCCTCCCATGATGTGGTCAACATGTAAACTGCATGGGCAGGGCGCCAAATAACATCCTGTGTGCTGCTGAGCTGAGCTGGGGCGCGGCCGCCTGTCTGCACCGGCAGCACCATGTCGCTCATGGTCATCATCATGGCGTGTGTTGGTGAGTCCTGGAAGGGAATAGAGGGAGGGAGCGTGGGGATGGAGATCTGGGCCCAGAGGTGGAGATATGGGCCTGGAGGTGGAGTTATGGGCCTGGAGTGGAGATCTGGGCCTAGAGATGGAGTGATGAGCCTAGAAGTGGAGATCTGCGCCTGGAGTGGAGATCTGGGCCTGGAGTGAAGATCTGGGCCTGGAGTGGAGATATGGGCCTGGAGTGGGGATAGGAACCTGGAGTGGAGAGAGGAACCTGGAGGAGAGATAGGAACCTGGAGGGGAGGTAGGAGCCTAGGGTGGAGATATGGGACTGGAGTGGAGATATGGGACTGGAGTGGAGATATGGGCCTGGAGTGGAGTTATGGGCCTGGAGTGAAGTTATGGGCCTGGAGGTGGAGATACGGGCCTGGAGTGGAGATATGAGCCTGGAGTGGAGATATGGTCCTGGAGTGGAGATATGGGCCTGGAGTGGAGATATGGGTCTGCAGTGGAGTTATGGGCCTGGAGTGAAGTTATGGGCCTGGAGGTGGAGATATGGGACTGGAGTGGAGATATGGGACTAGAGTGGAGATAGGGGCCTGGAGGTGGAGATCTGGGCCTGGAGTGGAGATCTGGGCCTGGAGTGGAGATCTGGGCCTGGAGTGGAGATATGGGCCTGGAGTGGAGATATGGGTCTGCAGTGGAGATATGGGCCTGGAGGTGGAGATATGGGCCTGGAGTGGAGTTATGGGCCTGGAGTGAAGTTATGGGCCTGGAGGTGGAGATATGGGCCTGGAGTGGAGATATGGGACTAGAGTGGAGATAGGGGCCTGGAGGTGGAGATCTGGGCCTGGAGTGGAGATATGGCCCTGGAGTGGAGATATGGGCCTGGAGTGGAGATATGAGCCTGGAGTGGAGATATGGCCCTGGAGTGGAGATATGGGCCTGGAGGTGGAGATATGGGCCTGGAGTGGAGTTATGGGCCTGGAGTGAAGTTATGGGCCTGGAGGTGGAGATATGGGCCTGGAGTGGAGATATGGGACTAGAGTGGAGATACGGGCCTGGAGGTGGAGATCTGGGCCTGGAGTGGAGATATGGCCCTGGAGTGGAGATATGGGCCTGGAGTGGAGATATGAGCCTGGAGTGGAGATATGGCCCTGGAGTGGAGATATGGGCCTGGAGTGGAGATATGAGCCTGGAGTGGAGATATGGCCCTGGAGTGGAGATATGGGCCTGGAGTGGAGATATGGGCCTGGAGTGGACATATGGGTCTGGAGTGGAGATACGGGCCTGGAGGTGGAGATATGGGCCTGGAGTGGAGATATGGGCCTGGAGGTGGTGATATGGGCCTGGAGTGTAGACATGGGCCGAGTGGAGATATGGGTCTGGAGTGGAGATATGGGCCTGGAGTGGAGATATGGGACTGGAGTGGAGATATAGGCATGGGGTGGAGACATGGGCCGGGAGTGGAGATATGGGACTGGAGTGGAGATACGGGCGTGGGGTGGAGATATGTGCCTGGAGGTGGAGATATGGGCGTGGGTTGGAGATATGGGCCTGGAGTGGAGATATGGGCGTGGGGTGGAGATATGGGTCTGGAGTGGAGACATGGGCATGGGGTGGAGATATGGGCCTGGTGTGTAGATATGGGCCTGGAGTGGAGATATGGCCCTGGAGTGGAGATATGGGCCTGGAGTGGAGATCTGGGCCTACGGTGGAGATATGGGCCTAGGATGGGGATATGGGCCTGGAATGGAGATATGGGCCTGGGTGTGGAGATATGGGACTGGAGTGGAGATATGGGCCTGATGTGGAGATATGGGCTTGGAGTGGAGATATGATCCTGGAGTGTAGTTATGGGCCTGGAGGTGGAGATCTGGGCCTGGGGTGGAGATATGGGCCTGGAGTGGAGATATGGGACTGGAGAGGAGATATGGGACTGGAGTGGAGATATGGGCCTGGAGTGGAGATATGGGCCTGGATTGGAGATATGGGCCGAGGGTGGAGATCTGAGCCTGGATTGGAGATGTGGGCCCGGATTGGCTATATGGGTCTAGGGTGGAAATATCGGCCTGGAGTGGAGATATGGGCCTGGAGTGGAGATATGGGCTTGGGGTCGGGATATGGGCCTGGAGGCTGGGTCTCTGTACAGCCGAGAGCACTGTTCTTGGGTGCAGGTAGGCACTGATGGTGAGTTTACCTTCGGCCCAGGAAGGGGCTGGCTATCAAGACTCACAGCCCAGTGGGGGCAGCAAGGAAGGCCTTGTTTGCCTGCAAATGGATCTTCCATCATGATCTTTCTTTCCAGGGTTCTTCTTGCTGCAGGGGGCCTGGCCACAGGAGGGTAAGTCCTTCTCCAAACCTTAGGGTGTCATCTCCCCACATAAGAGGATTTTCCTGAAACGGGAGGGAAGTCCTGTCAGGGAGTCTCTCATAAACTAGGAAGAGGGGACCCTGGGGTGCTCGGCCCACAGTTCCGACCTTGCCTCCCTGGCCTCTCAACCCCTTGGCAGAGTCAAGTTGTGTGGGGACCAGGGTTGGACTAGGGTGTTCAAAGCTGGGTTGTGTGGTGGGGAAGTGGTAGGAACAGCAGATCCTCTGAGGACAAAGGTGTTACTCACACACTTCAGCGTTTCCATGACGGTAGGGGCTGCAGTGTGGCTGCTGTCATTCTACCAGAAGAGGTGGGAAACCACAGCCATGGCCCTGACATTCCAAATCCTCTGATGGGGGCTAAGTTTTTTATTTTCATTCAGGCAACTGCTGATATTCCATTCTCAAAGGACATGCCCTCCACTTCATGTCTACCCTGTGTTGTTTTATGTCAGTAATCTTACAGTATTAAAATCTAGTAGGAGTCTCTTACTCAGCACTTGCTCAAAGTTCTCAGCTGACACTTTTGTTGTACGGAGACACCTTGTCTTTGTGGGATGGGTCCTTCCTTTAGCCCTAGGCACCAAGGTGTGATAGCAGCCATAGAAATGTGGAAAGTGGGGAGAATCTTCTGAGCACAGGGAGGGAGGCACAGCTCCACATCCTCCTCTCTAAGGCGGCGCCTCCTTCACCCCAAGGTGGTCAGGACAAGCCCTTGCTTTCTACCTGGCCCAGCCTTGTGGTGCCTCCAGAACATGTGACTCTTCAGTGTCACTCTAATCTTGGGTTTAACAACTTCAGTCTGTACAAGGATGATGGGGTGCCTGTCCCTGAGCTGTACAACAGAATATTCTGGAAAAGCCTTTTCATGGGCCCTGTGACCCCGTCACATGCAGGGACCTATAGATGCCGGGGTTCACACACACACTCCCCCAGTGGGTGGTCGGCACCCAGCAACCCCCTGGTGATCATGGTCACAGGTCAGAGGGCTCCTGTCTGGGATTCTCCTTGTCCCACCTCCTGAATCCCAGAGCTTCTGGTAGGCATGTCCTTGAGGGTCCCATCATGCAGGCCCTAACTGTATTTGGGGTAAAGGGGGATTGAATACAGGGAAATGGGTGCTGTGGTGGGAAGAATAAGTGTCCCCAGTGATGACTGCATTCTAATCCCTGGAGTCTGTGACTATTTATGTTATAGGGGAAGGGACTGAAGGGGAAGATGGAGCTCAGGTTGTTGATGAGTTGACCTTGAGATGGGGAGACAGCCTGGACTGTCCCGGTGGGCTCAATATAATCACAAGTGTCCACATGAAAGGAGGAGGAAGAGGAGAGTGGGGATTAGAGCAGCGTAGTGGGAGACTCCATTAGCTTTGAAGGTGGATGAAGGCCATAAGCCATGAATGCAGGTGGCCTATAGAGGCTGGGAAAGTCAAGTAACTGATTCTCCTGAGTCTCCAGAGGGAACACAGCCCTGCAGATGCCTTGATTTTAGCCCTCGAAAAACAGGGTCCGCTTTCTGTCTCCAGAATCGGAGGGGGTCAGTGTGCTCTCTCCTGCTGCCATGCTTCTGATAATTTTCTACAGCAGCAACAGGAAACCAACACTGGAACCCAGGTCAAGGACAAGTTAAGAAAAGACACAAGGATAGCCAGGCATGGTGGCAGGTGCATGTAATCCTAGCGACTCGGGAGGCTGAGAGCAGGAGAATCGCTTGAACCCAGGAGACAGAGGTTGCAGTGAGCGTAGACCACACCACTTCACTCCAGCCTGGGTGAAGGAGTGAGACTCTGTCTCCAAAATTAATTAATTAATTAAAGAAACCAAACAAAGAGAAGGTTGGCTACACCGAGATCAGCAAGGGTGGGATGATGATGCCACCACCAGGCTCCATCAACATAGGGAGGGGTTGATACTCCTCAAATCAGCACGAGGAGCCAGCCTATGGAAACTGGCACCATGGAGAAGGCACAGACATGGCAAGAGTGGCTCCCAGTCCCCACCAGGAACAGGGTGTGTGGACACTGGTGCCTGCCTTACTGATCAGTTCATACCTCCTGCCAAGGATTCCAATTCGTCCAAAAGAGATTGAACCAGGCTGCTAAGAGCCGGGACGTGCAGCCTATCCTGCTTCCTCTTCCACTCCCACATAGACAGTAAGAAAGACATTAGTGTGAAATAGATACAACAGCCCAAGAGATGAGGCTGAGCCCAGTGGGAAGGGAATCACAGCTACTAGAGACAGAGGGACAGAGAAGAGGGAGGGAGACAGATGGAAGGACCTGCACCAGGAGTTATGGGCACAGAAAAGAACATGAAGACACAGAGAGGAAGCAGAGAGACAGACACCAGCGAAGGGAAGTCTCACTCATTCCAGGTGCCATGGATGGGATGATAAAGAGAGACACCTTCTAAACTCACAACCTCTCTTCCTAGGAGTCCACAGAAAACCTTCCTTCCTGGCCCTCCCAGGTCACCTGGTGAAATCAGAAGAGACAGTCATCCTGCAATGTTGGTCGGATGTCATGTTTGAGCACTTCCTTCTGCACAGAGAGGGGAAGTTTAACAACACTTTGCACCTCATTGGAGAGCACCATGATGGGGTTTCCAAGGCCAACTTCTCCATTGGTCCCATGATGCCTGTCCTTGCAGGAACCTACAGATGCTACGGTTCTGTTCCTCACTCCCCCTATCAGTTGTCAGCTCCCAGTGACCCTCTGGACATGGTGATCATAGGTGAGAGTGTCCAGACATTCTTCTCATTGTCATTGGGATGCAGAGTGAATGATCCAGGACTTGGAGACCCAGGTGGTTGTAAGGAAGATGAGCTTGGTATTCTTATGGAGAGAGACTGACTTGGTGAGGTCTGTGCCAACAGAGACAGAGAAACAAGAGACACAAGTACAGACCAGGTGTCATAACAGAGGACAAACACAGGGGCCATACCGGGAGTTAGAAAAGACAGAAAGAGTTAAAGGAGACAGACAGACATGTCCCAGACAGAGGTGTCCTTCCATGCTGACTTTGCTCAGAGACCTGGCACAGGTTAGAAGTTTCATTTCTGTTTTACCTCCACAAAGTGTTCTCTACCAGGAGAACCCAAGGACACCCATATTTCTGACCTGAGTTGGGCCCTGTGGCCTCAGGCCTTGTGGCACCTACAGATGCCATGCTTATTCTGACACCTCTGACTTCCATGCAATGGAGAATAATCGTCCCAAAATATCATGGCCCCAGAACACCAACCCCTGTATGCTGTGTGAACTTGTGGTCTCCAGACTGGATTCTGAGGCTCACATTCCAAATAACCCCACATATCACATATGAGAGGATCACTGAGAAGCACAGAGAGAAATCAGGGACACCAAAAAGCAAAGACATAAACACACAGAGAAAGAGCCAGAGGAAGGAGATTGAGAGACTCACAGACACATAAAGAGAGAGAAGAGGGCAGAGAAGTGGAGAGAATGATGGAAGAGAGCAGAGAAAACCACTAAAATTAGAGTCCTGAGGGCGAGGCACAAGGGCATAGAAAGATGGAGATGTGGGGATGAATTGCAGAGATTCCAAAGAGAACTAGAGAGACCGAGAGGCAGAGCAAGACAGATGATAGATGGATAGATACAGATAGATGATGGATAGATATAGATAGATGATATATAGGTAGATGATAGATAATAGGTTATAGATACATAGATGATGATTGATTGATTCATTAATAGATGATACATAGAGATGATGATGATGAAGATAGATGGATAGATAATACATAGAGATAGAGAGGAAGACAAAGAGAGAAATAATAGAGAGAGAGAGATGATACATATATATAGATAATAGATGATTGACGGATAGACAATTGATAGATAAATAGATGATATATAGATATAGATGACAGGTAGAGAATTTGTAGATAGGCACCGAATAGATAAATAGATGGATTGATAGATAATAGATAGAAATATGCAGAAAGTTATGAACGGGACACAAACTGAGAAACTCAGAGTTAAAAAAAGTAACATCAAGTCAACCAATCCAAGGAGAGCCAGAGAGAATAAAACAATCCAAAAAAGGAAAACATAACTAGAGGTAGGGAAGTGAGGTCAGAGACCTACAGAGACAGAGAAGGTGGAAGGAGGAAATAGACATGAAGAGAGATAGGGTGGAGGGTGAGACAGAGAAAGAGAGCATTAGGCCATAGAGCAGGGGAGTGAGTTCTCAGGTCAGGTGTGAGGGGAGCTGTGACAAGGAAGATCCCCCCTGAGGAAACTGCCCCTTCTCCTTCCAGGTCTATATGAGAAACCTTCTCTCTCAGCCCAGCCGGGCCCCACGGTTCAGGCAGGAGAGAATGTGACCTTGTCCTGCAGCTCCCGGAGCTCCTATGACATGTACCATCTATCCAGGGAAGGGGAGGCCCATGAACGTAGGCTCCCTGCAGTGCGCAGCATCAACGGAACATTCCAGGCCGACTTTCCTCTGGGCCCTGCCACCCACGGAGGGACCTACAGATGCTTCGGCTCTTTCCGTGACGCTCCCTACGAGTGGTCAAACTCGAGTGATCCACTGCTTGTTTCCGTCACAGGTGAGGAAACCCCATATCTGTCCCATGTCCTATGATCCTAGAGCCTTAGCTGAGGAGCTTCCTGCTGATGATGGAGAGAAGCATGGACAGATGCAGAGAGAAGACGCAGCATGCCTGTGAGGGAGGGATCAGGGCGCAGGATGGCACACACAGCACCTCCAAACCCTCCTGCATGGCCTGCATGGAGGCCTCCGATTAGGGCTCCAGAAACCCAGGCAGATGTAGAAAGCGGTCAGGAGAGACCCAGAGAAGGGGAGACTGGGCTCAGTTTGGGGAGATCAGAGGTTCCCTCAGCCCCTCAACCTTACCCATTTCCCAGAAGCCCTTCCTGGCCTCTCACCCACACAGAGATGTCATCACCAGCAACCCCTACATCCTTTTCTTTTTGTTTGAAAAAATATTCATTGAGGTTAAATATACCTATATAGCTTACCACTTTTAACATTTTTTTTTTTTTGAGGTGGAGTCTAGCTCTGTCTCCTATGCTGGAATGCAGTGGCACAATCTCAGCTCACTGTAACCTCCGCCTCCTGGGTTCAAGCGATTCTCCTGCCTCAGCCACCTGAGTAGCTGGTACTACAGGCGCCCATCACCACGCCGGGCTACTTTTTGTATATTTAGTAGAGAGGGGGTTTCACCATGTTGGTCGAGCTGCTCTGGAACTCCTGACCACGTGATCCACCCGCCTCAGGCTCCCAAAGTGCTGGGATTACAGGCATGAGCCACCGCGCCCGGCCACGTTTACCAATTTTAAGTGTAAGGTCTAGTGGTCATAAATACATACATATAAATTTTTTGTTTGTTTGTTTTATCCTCCACCCTTTTCTTCCTGGCCTCTGGTAGCCACCATTCTACTCTCTATCTTCATGAGATCCACCTTTTAGCTCCTGTATATGGGTGAGAAATGAGAATATTTGTAATGACTTCCAGTTCCATCCATGTGGCTGCAAATATCAGGATGTTATTCTTTCTATGGATGAGTAGTCTCCGCTGTGCGTATGTACTACATTCTCTCTATCCATTCATCCACTGATGGGCAGGTAGGTTGACTCCACATCTTGGCTACTGTGAAGAGTGCTGCACCAATCATACGAGTGCAGATATCACTTCGATACATTGATTTACTTTCCTTTGGATATAAACCCAGTAGTGAAATTGCTGGATACTATGAAAGTTCTCTTTTTAGTTTTTCGTTTGTTGTTTTGTTTTTGTTTTTGAGACAGTTTCCCTCTGTGCCCAGGCTGGAGTACAAGTGATGTGATCTTGGCTCATTGCAACCTCCGCCTCCTGGGTTCAAATGATTTTCCTGCCTCAGCCTCCCTAGTAGCTGGGATTACAGGTGCACGCCACCATGCCGGGATACTTTTTGGTTTTTTTTAGTGTACATGGGGTTTCCCCAGGTTGGCTAGGCTGCTCTCAAACTCATGACCTCAACTGAGGTGCCCGCCTCGGTCTCCCAAAGTGCCGGGATTACAGGCATGATCCACTTCATCCAACCTCTTTTTAGTTCTTTAAAGGACTTCCATACTTTTCTCCGTAATGGCTGTACTAATTTACACTCCTACCAACAGGGTACCAGGGTTCTCCTTTCTCTACCACCTTGCCAGCATTTGTTTTGCCTGTCTTGCAGCTAAAAGCCATTTTATTTTATTTCATTTTATTTTGAGATGGAGTTTCGCTCTTGTCACCCAGGCTGGAGTGCAGTGGTGCGATCTCGGCTCACCGCAACCTCCACCTCCCAGGTTCAAGCGATTCTCCTGCCTCAGCCTCCCGAGTAGCTGGAATTACAGGCACACACCACCACGCCCGACTAATTTTTGTATTTTTAGTAGAGACAGCGTTTCTCCATGTGGGTCAGACTGGTCTCAAACTCCCGACCTTATGAGATTCGCCCACCTCGGGCTCTCAGAGTTCTAGGATGACAGACGTGAGCCACCTCGCCCGGCCTAAAAGCCATTTTAATGGGGTGAGATGAAAACTCACTTTGATTTTAATTCGCGTTTCTCTGATGATGAGTGATACTGAGCACTTTTTCGTATGTGGGGAAATTTCATGTCTTTTGCTCCTTTTTCAATTAAATCATTTGTTTTATTGAGTTGTTTGAGCTTCTTATACTTCTAGTTATTAATCCCGTCTCAGATGCATAGTTTGCACATATTTGCTCCCAATCTGTGGGTTGTCTCTTCACTTTGTTGGTTTATTTTTAGCGGTGCAGAAGTTGCTTAGTTTGAGGTAATCCCAATGGTCTATTTTTGCTTCGATTACTTGTGTTTTGAAGGTTTAAAACAAAATGTCTTCCTTCAGACAAATGTACTGGAGCATTTCCCCAATATTTTCTTCTACGTGTTTCACAGGTTCAGGCCTTAGACTCACATCTTTAATCCACTTTCATTTGATTTTTGTGTATGGTGACAGGTAGAGGTGCAGTTTCATTCCTCTGCATGTAGATGTCCAGGTTTCCCTGCACTGTTTATTGAAAAAACTGTCCTTTCCTGATTGTGAGTTCTTGGCACCTTTGTCAAAGTCCATTGGATGGGCTGGGCATGGTGGCTAACACCAGCAACTTCAGCACTTTGGGAGGCCAAGGCTGGTGGATCACCTGAGGACAGGAGTACAAGATTACTCTGGCCGACGTGATGAAACATCGTCTCCACTAAAAATATAAAAATTAGCTGAGCATGGTGGTCAGCACCTGTAATACTACTACTCAGGAGTTTGAGGCAAGAGAATTGATTGAACCCAGGAGGCTGAGGTTGCAGTGAACCGAGATTGCACCTCTGCACTCCAGCCTGGGTGACAGAGCGAGACTCCATCTCAAAAGAAAAAATAAAAAAAATTGGATGTAAATGCATGGATTATATCTGTGTTCTTCATTCTGCTCCGTTGTTCTATGTGCCTTTCTTCATGCCAACATCATGCTGTTTTGCTTACTACAGCTCTGTAACATATTTTGAGATCAGGTAGTGTGATGCTCCTGTTTTCTCTTTATACCTTGAAGTCTCAAGACAGTGGGCGTCACATACAAAAATTATGGAAGAAAGGATCCCTGGACTCCCAGGGCCCAATGTTAGATAACAGAGTGTTGGCCATGAACCAAACTCAAAGATTTCCACTGAGTAGAGGACAGACACCCTCATTTCCTCACCTCTCTCCTGTCTCATGTTCTAGGAAACCCTTCAAATAGTTGGCCTTCACCCACTGAACCAAGCTCCAAAACCGGTGAGTACAGGACCCTCTTATATCCGCTTTTGGAACCCTGGGGAGGTGGAAACCTTGGATTCAGGCGTTGACTCAGCATCTCACAGCTCTGACATTGTACGCCTGTCTTCTACCATCTCCGAACTCCAGATACTCCAACAGCGAAAGGGATCTGGGCCCAACACAGGGCTCAGTGAAATCTCTTCATCTCTCATTTTATGGAGCTGAGACCTCCTACAAGCTAGAAGAATGATTGCCAATCTGACATCCTTCTCAGGAAAAACGCAATGTTTGTTCTGCTTGCATTCCTAACTGGAGGATAAATTCCTGGGGGCTTGAGAGAGGGAAGGGAAGCGAACATCTGATGAGGGCGAGGTGTTTTAGAGAAGTTCCACTTGCCAAGGAATGAGCTCCTGTTGGTCATGAAACAACCCTGGCTGACTCAGCAGAGCAAGAGCCTTGCCGTAACAGAGAACAGAGCTCATGCACGCACACTTTGACTCACTGACTTATTCAGCCACGGCCCCATGCTCAGGTTGTGCAGTGTGGAAGCTTTTCCTATTGTTGCCATAACAAATTTCCACAAGATTCGTGGGTGAAAACAAAACGGTTATTTAATTATCTTACAGTGCTCTAGCTCAAAGCATGAAGTGCATCTCACTGGGCTAAAATCAAGATGACAGCAAGCCTGCCTTCCCTCTGAGGATTCCAGGCAAGAATCTGCTTCTCACTTGTCCCATCTTATAAAGGCTCCCAGTTCCTTGGCTGCTGGTCCCTTTCCTCCTTCCTCAAAACCCACAAAGACTGGTCACATCTCACATGGCATCACTCAGACCCTTCTTCCTTACCACACCTCTTTCTCTGAATGCTGCTCTCCCTTCTTCCTCATCTTTTGAAAACTTGGGGATTCTATTGGGTTCACCAAGATGAAAATCCGTCATAATCTCCCGGAAATCATTCAGGATACCCTTGTTTTAAGTTCAGCTGATTAGCAACCATAATTCCATCTGCAATCTTCATTCCTCCTTTCCATGTAAAATAACATATTCACAAGCTATGGAGGCTAGGACAGGGACATTTTGGGGTGGGACAGCATTCTCCTGCCTTCCACAAATGGTGAACAAGATGCATTTGGCCTCTGCTCTTGGGACACTGATATTGCAGATGGTTAAATGGGAGGACAGAAAATGAATGCACAAGTGGACCAATAAATGAATGATCCATTGGGAAGCATCTGTGCATGAAATCTATTTGTTTGTTTGTTCGTTTGTTTATTGAGACAGAGTCTCCCTCTGTCTTCCAGGCTACAGTGCAGTGTCACGATCTTGGCTCACTGCAACCTGCGTCTCCTGGATCCAAGTGATTCTCCTGCCTCACCCTCTCGAGTAGCTGGGATTACAGGCAACTGCCACCATGCCCGGCTAATTCTTTTTGTATATTTTTTGTAGAGAGGATGTTTCACCATGTTGGCCAAGCTTGTCTGAAACTCCCAACCTCAAGTGATCCGACCATCTCAGCAACCCAAAGTACTGGGATTACAGGCGTGAGCCACTTTGCCCAGCCAGAATTCAAAATAAATAATAGATAATGCTGAGTGTATAATTTTGGGTGACAGAGAAGGTCTCACTAATCAGATATTTGTGACATTAATGAAAAACACGGATTGAACCCCTGAAAGATTGGCGGAAGGATTTTCCACACACAGCTGTCAGCTGTGAAGGCACAAAGGTGAAAACAATCTGATGTTGAAGGAAGAGGCTCTGCCTGAAATGCTGGGAATGAGGTGGGGAGAATGACAAGATGACTGTAGAGAGATGGAGAGCACTCTGGGTACACAGGAAACTAAGGAGGAACAAGGAGTGTGTGTTTGACACTCACAGCCATTGGATTCACCTCGGGGTAACCAGGAATCCCTACATGATTAATAGTGACTGACAAGAAAATAAGGGAGGCCCAGGTGCGTAACTGGAATCTAGGAGACTGTGGAAAAGGCAATTGCCGCCCCACTGGTGAAATGTGGTGCTGATTTAGACACTAAATGAATGAAGTAGATGGATATAAGATATGCTTGTGAGGTAGAATCATTGGCTGGAAAGGCTTGCTGGGTTTGATTTTCCTACTTGTTTAATCCTCGCTTAATTAATTTCTTTCTGAGATTTATTCATCCTACACATAAATCAATACCTGGCAAAGGAGTGACAGATATATGAGGGGTGGTGGAAATGAAGGGACCTATTATAGCATAATATACAAGTCTGTGAACGGTGGCTCATGCTTGTAACCCAGCCCTGCAGGAGGCCAAGGCGGGTGGATTCCATGAAGTCAGGAGTTCCAGACCAGCCTGGCCAACATGGTGAAACCCTATCTGTACTAAAAATACAAAAATTAGCCGAGCATGGTGGTGCATCCCTGTAATCCCAGCTCCTACTCTGGAGGATGAAGCAGGAGAATGACTTCAACCCAGGAGGTGGAGGTTGCAGTGAGTGGAGATTGCATCACTGCACTCCAGCCTGGGTGACACAAGGAGACTCCGTCTCAAAAAATAAAAATAAGAAATGCATAAATATAATAAAACACACACGAATGACAAAGGCACCTGAATTCCAATCATCATTTTTCTATTTCTCTATAATTACTTCTTTGATCCTTTATCTTATCCATTAGGCAATCAGCCTAAAACCTCTTCCCTATTTGGCTTTCTGTGAGCATGAGATCACATAGAAAATGTGAAAGCCCGCTGAATCCTCCAGCACGGATCCTGGAATAGAGAAAGTGCTCTGGTCATCGCAAAAAAAAACTTGCCCACTCACCCAAATCGCCCACCTCACCCCTACTTCCAATCACCTGTGGAGATTCAGATAGACCATGGGGAGGAAACATTAATATTCCTTGGAGTGAGTCCAGATCTTGGAATCAGAGATCAGCGACAGCACTAGCTCCTGTTCCCCTTTCCTACTAATTCACAGGAGGACAGGTGGTATTGAAGCAATAGATGGTGGAGGGGGTGGTCCTTCCCCCAGCCTCTCGGGTAGAACAGCAGCCTAACATGTGTCTCCCGAGATCACAAAGAGCAGCACATTTCACACGGGCTTCAACACTATTTTCTGGCTGTTTGACATAAGAGAATCTTGCTTCGCTATTTTTAATCGTGATTTCACCTTTGTTTCCTTTCCTTGGTGAATGCAATTTGTTTGACTCAAGAATGCTGTGGATGTAGAAATCCTAAAGCACATTCGCTGTGTATCAATCCCAGTGCAGTCTTCCCAGAGAAGACTCTAAACAAATCCTGGACTGCACCTGGGCCTATGCCAATTCCTATCACTCACCGTCACTCCAGGGAGACAGAACACACAGAGGATACGTTACATAGGCAGGTTCATTACTAACAGATAAGCAGCGAGTGACAACAGAAGCCTGCATTTCAATGTGAGCCAGTCCCTCAAGGCTCAGAAAAGCTGCTCGGGACATATGGAGTCACCCCATTTGCAGTGTAACTGGGGGAAGCCAGAAAGCAGCCCAGCCTGGGTTTTGTACCCTGGAGCCACAGGAAGCACTCAGCTAAAGCACTGCATGACGTCCTCCTCCAGGAAGAACAGGAAGACAGCCCAGGCTGTTCTGAGACATTCCTCCTGATCTCAGGATGTTGCTATCTTAGTCCATTTTTGTTGCTCTAAAGGAACACTTGAGCCTGGGTAACTTCTAAAGAAAAGAGATTGGTTTGCCTCACAGTTCTGCAGGCTGTACTGGAAGCATGGCACCAGAATCTATTTCTCTTGACGGCCTCAGGCTGCTCCCACTCTGGCAGAAGGGAAGGAGGGTCTGTCTGTGCAGAGACCGCAGAGATCACACGGCAAGAGAGAGAGTAAGGGGGAGAGGGAGCGATGGAGCTTCCAAGCTCTTTTTAACAACCAGCTCTCCAGGAACTAACAGAGGGGGAACTTGCTAACCCCGTCTCCTTGGGACAGCATTGATCTGTTCATGATGGATCCACCTCCATGACCCAAACACCTCTGAAGAGGCCCAACCTCCCACAATGGGGGTGAAATTTCAATGTGAGGTTTGAAAGGGTCAAACATCTCAACTAAAGTAGTTGTATCCTCAGCACGTTCTATGGTTACTATGAGAGCTATAATTGAGAAAGCAGGGGAAAGCTAGGTCTCCCGCCATTTGGGTGCTTGTCCTAAAGAGACGTTGTATGTGGTTACCTGCCAATCAAGAAATGCGAGACAATTCATAAAGAGGAACTGCTATGATTAGCTTCTTATTGGTGTCTCCTCTTCTTCCAGGTAACCCCAGACACCTACATGTTCTGATTGGGACCTCAGTGGTCAAAATCCCTTTCACCATCCTCCTCTTCTTTCTCCTTCATCGCTGGTGCTCCGACAAAAAAAGTAAGTCTCACGAAGCAGAGGCCAGAGAGCTCAGGGCCATGTGGGGAAGCAGGATGGGAGCACGCGGATGTGTGTTCCTCACCAGCAGGATGGTCCCTGGCCCAAGACAGGAGCCACAGAGGCAGGACTTTCTAGAGAGAGCACCAGATTCCCTTCCCCTGCCTTCAGCTCACAGACCATTGCCTGATTCTGAACTGTATCCTCACGTCCCCTGCAGCCACTCACATCCAGGAGAAGGTTCCATGACAGGCAGAAAGTGGGAGATAGAATCAATGGGATGGGAACTCAGAGCTATTCATGGGATGGGTCCTTGAACTCAGAGAGATAGAATGTCTGAGTCTGCTGTTGGCAACTGAGGGACCTCAGGCACCTATGGCCTCCCCCTGTTTGTTGGTATCTGCTTATGAAATGAGGACCCAGAAGTGCCCTCCGAGCTCTTTTGTTGACTTCCGTCTTCTACAGATGCTGCTGTAATGGACCAAGAGCCTGCAGGGAACAGAACAGTGAACAGCGAGGTAGGTGCTCCTCGGCCCAGCCTCGTGGCTAGTCTTATTCCCAAAGAGTCCTGAAAAATGTGAGCACCCTCCCTCACTCAGCATTTCCCTCTCTCCAGGATTCTGATGAACAAGACCATCAGGAGGTGTCATACGCATAATTGGATCACTGTGTTTTCACACAGAGAAAAATCACTCGCCCTTCTGAGAGGCCCAAGACACCCCCAACAGATACCAGCATGTACATAGAACTTCCAAATGCTGAGCCCAGATCCAAAGTTGTCTTCTGTCCACGAGCACCACAGTCAGGCCTTGAGGGGATCTTCTAGGGAGACAACAGCCCTGTCTCAAAACCGGGTTGCCAGCTCCCATGTACCAGCAGCTGGAATCTGAAGGCATCAGTCTTCATCTTAGGGCATCGCTCTTCCTCACACCACGAATCTGAACATGCCTCTCTCTTGCTTACAAATGTCTAAGGTCCCCACTGCCTGCTGGAGAGAAAACACACTCCTTTGCTTAGCCCACAATTCTCCATTTCACTTGACCCCTGCCCACCTCTCCAACCTAACTGGCTTACTTCCTAGTCTACCTGAGGCTGCAATCACACTGAGGAACTCACAATTCCAAACATACAAGAGGCTGCCTCTTAACACAGCACTTAGACACGTGCTGTTCCACCTCCCTTCAGACTATCTTTCAGCCTTCTGCCAGCAGTAAAACTTATAAATTTTTTAAATAATTTCAATGTAGTTTTCCCGCCTTCAAATAAACATGTCTGCCCTCATGGTTTCGGTAACGAGACTCTTTTCTTGCCTAAGGCTTCCGGTGTTATCATTACCATGTCCACATAACCCCATCTGTTCTCCATTGGGTTCTCAGCCCTGGACTCTGAGCTTCTGGAAGCAGAATGTAGCCTGATTTGTCTCTGAGACTCCAATTTCCATCCAAAGATACAGCACATAGGAGGCTCCAAGGATCGTGAATCACATGAACAAGTGATATTCTTACTCTCTGCAGACCTGGAAAGCTGGCAGAGTCATTCCACGATGAAACATTTGTAGAGACATAGGCCTTGTTAGTCTCATCTCCACGGGGACACATATCAACATATCATCTTTCATAATATAAATATACAGTCGGTCCTCCATATCTGTGGGGTTTACAGGTGTTTATTGAACCAACAATAAATCAAAAATATTTTCAGAAAAAAATCCCCGAAGTTTCAAGAAGCAAAAAACTATGTTGAATCGACACAAATTGAGTGGCGTGTAGGCTGTGTCAGGAATTATAAGTAATCAAGAGATGATTTCATGTATACAGGAGGATGTGCATGGGTTCTATGCAATTGCTATGCTATTTTTTTTTTTTTTTGAGACAGTCTCACTCTCTCACCCAGGCTGGAGTGCAGTGGCATGATCTCAGCTCACTGCAACCTCTGCCTCCCAGGTTCAAGCGATTGTCTTCCCTCAGCCTCCCCAGTAGCCTCCCCTAGGATTACAGGCACGTGCCACCATGCACAGATAAATTTTTTTGTGTGTGTATTTTTAGTAGAGACGGGGTTTCAGAATGTTGGACCAGCTGGTCTTGAACTCCTGACCTCGTGATCTACCCAACTCAGCCTCCCAAAGTGCTGGGATTACAGGCGTGAGCCACGGTGCCCAGCTTCGCTATGCCATTTCATGCAAGGGGCTTGAGCATCTGCAGATTTTGGTATCTGAATGGGGATCCTGGAACCAATCACCCAGGAATAGTGAAGGACCACAGTATATAATTTTTATTTGTCAATCTTAAAAATAAAGCATAAAAAGTTTACAACAACAAGATAAAAAATAAGAAGTGTTTTTATAGTGTGAGGATAAGTTTAGATTTATTTTTTCCTACGTGTAACCCTATGGTCCTGTGTTATTTATTGAGAAAATATTCTATTCCACCTTAAACTACATGGCAGCCTTTGTCAACTATAAAGGGACTGTGTATCCACAGATGTATTTTAGACACAGTTTTCTGCCCAGTGGTTCTCTGTATCCCCTCTCATGAGGATGCTGCATTTCATATAAACTTATAGAACCCCTTAAAATTTGGTAACCTGAGTTCTCTGATTTGTTATTATAGGTTATTTAGTTTGCTTTTTTTTTTCTTTCTTGAGACAGACTCTTCCTCTGTCACCCAAGCTGGAGTTCAGTGGCTTGAGCTCAGCTCACTGCAGCCTCCGCCTCCCAGGTTCAAGCAATTCTCGTGCCTCAGGTTTAGTACTAGAAACTCATCAGGAAAATTAGAATGGCTTTTTGTCACAATTACTCTGATAATGTTAATAATACCTCTTAGATATTTTGCACATTACACATGAAGAAAAGTTTGAATCTCAGATAAAAACAAAAATACATCAAAAGTCTTTAATGTAAGCACAGAATTCAATCACCTCATGTGTGAGAGGTTGGATCTGAGACGTCTTTTGAGTCTGGTCATAGTGAAGGATGCAAGGTGGCAATTGTAGTCACAACAATTTCCAGGAAGCCATGTTCCGCTCTTGAGCGAGCACCCACTGGGCCTCATGCAAGGTAGAAAGAGCCTGCGTACGTCACCCTCCCATGATGTGGTCAACATGTAAACTGCATGGGCAGGGCGCCAAATAACATCCTGTGCGCTGCTGAGCTGAGCTGGGGCGCGGCCTCCTGTCTGCACCGGCAGCACCATGTCGCTCACTGTCGTCAGCATGGCGTGCGTTGGTGAGTCCTGGAAGGGAATAGAGGGAGGGAGAGTGGGGATGGAGATCTCGGCCTAGAGGTAAAGATATGGGCCTGGAGTGGAGATATGGGCCTGGAGTGGAGATATGGGCCTGGGTGTGGAGATATGGGCCTGGAGGTGTAAATATGGGCCTGGAGTGCAGATATGGGCCTGGAGGGGAGATATGGGCCTGGGTGTGGAGATATGGGCCTGGAGTGGAGATACGGGCCTGGAGTGGAGATATGGGCCTGGAGTGGAGATATGGGCCTGCAGGTGGAGATCTGGGCCTGGAGTGGAGATATGGGTCTGATGTGGAGATATGGGCCTGGAGTGGAGATATGGGCCTGGAGTGGAGATATGGGCCTAGAGGGGAGATCTGGGCCTGGAGTGGAGATATGGGTCTGATGTGGAGATATGGGCCTGGAGTGGAGATAGGGGCCTGGAGTGGAGATAGGGGCCTGGAGTGGAGATATGGGCCTGGAGTGGAGATCTGGGCCAGGAAGTGTTGATCTGGGCCTGGAGCCTGGGTCTCTCCACAGCTGAGAGCCCTGTTCTTGGCAGCAGGTAGCAGGGAGGCTAAGTTTACCTTCAGCCCAGCAAGGGCCTGGCTGCCAAGACACACAGTGCAGTGGGGGCAGCAGGGTGCCCTGGTTTGCCTGCAGTTGGATCGTCTATCATGATCTTTCTTTCCAGGGTTCTTCTTGCTGCAGGGGGCCTGGCCACTCATGGGTGAGTCCTTCCCCAAACCTTAGGGTGTCATCTCCCCACATAAGAGGATTTTTCTGAAACAGGAGGGAAGTCCTGTCGGGGAGTCTCTCATAAACTAGGAAGAGGGGACCCTTGGATACTCGGCCCACATTTCTGACCTCGCCCTCCCCGGCCTTTCTTTCCCTTTCCTGAGTCAAGCTCTGTGAAGACTGGGGTGAGACTGGGGTGCTCCAAGCTGGGGTGTGCAGGGAGGAAGTGGTGTCAGCAGCAGAGAAAGAGAGGGAAGCAGTGCTAGGAACAGCAGGTCCTCTGAGGACAAAGGTATAACTGACACCCTCCAGCGTTTCCGTGACGGTAGGGGCTGCAGTGTGGCTGCGGTCTTTCTACCAGAAGAGGGGGGAAACCACAGCCATGGCCCTGACATTCCAAATCCTCTGAGGGGGCTCAGTTCATGAATTGGCTGATATTCCATTCACATAGGACATGCCCTCCATGCCGTGTCTACTTTGTGTTGTTTTATGTGAGTAATTTTGCAGTATTAAAATCTAGTAAGAGTCACTTATTCAGCACTTGCTCAAAGTTCTCAGCTGACACTTGTTGTAGGGAGACGCCATGTCTATGTGGGGTGGGTCCTTCCTGTAGCCCTGGGCACCCAGGTGTGGTAGGAGCCTTAGAAAGCGGAAATGGGAGAATCTTCTGAGCACAGGGAGGGAGGGGTGGCTCCACATCCTCCTCTCTAAGGCAGTGCCTCCTTCTCCCCCAGGTGGTCAGGACAAACCCTTCCTGTCTGCCCGGCCCAGCACTGTGGTGCCTCGAGGAGGACACGTGGCTCTTCAGTGTCACTATCGTCGTGGGTTTAACAATTTCATGCTGTACAAAGAAGACAGAAGCCACGTTCCCATCTTCCACGGCAGAATATTCCAGGAGAGCTTCATCATGGGCCCTGTGACCCCAGCACATGCAGGGACCTACAGATGTCGGGGTTCACGCCCACACTCCCTCACTGGGTGGTCGGCACCCAGCAACCCCCTGGTGATCATGGTCACAGGTCAGAGGCTTTCTGTCTGGGCTTCTCACTGTCCCACCTCCTGAATCCCAGAGCTTCTGGTGGGGGTGTCCATCAGGGTCCCATCACCCAGGCCCCAACTGTATTTGGGGTCAAGGGAGATTGAATACAGGGGAAATGGGCGCTGTGGTGGGAAGAATAACTGTCGCCAATGATGGCTACATTGTAAACCCTGGAGCCTGTGACTATTTATGTTATAGGGCAGGGGACTGAAGGGGAAGGTGGAGCTCAGGTTGTTGATGAGTTGACCTTGAGATGGGGAGACAGCCTGGACTGTCCTGCTGGGCTCAGTGTAATCACAAGGGTCCGCGTGAGAGGTGGAGGAAGAGGGGAGTGGGGATTAGAGCAGTGTAGTGGGAGGGAGACGCTATCAGCCACTGTGGGCTTTGAAGGTGGAGGAAGGCCACTAGTCACAGAATGCAGGTGGCCTCTAAGGGCTGGAGAAGTCAAGAGAACTGATTCGCTGAGTCTCCAGAGGGAACGCAGCCCTGCAGATGCCTTGATTTCAGCACAGGGAGAACTGGATCCAATTTCTGTCCCCAGAAGTGGAAGGGGTCAGTGTGTTCTCTCCTGCTGCCATGTTTGTGATAATTTTCTGCAGCAGCAACAGGAAACCGACACAGGAACCCAGGTCAAGGACAAGCTAGGAAACCAAACAAGGATAGCCAGGTGTGGTGGTGGGCACGAGTAATCCAACGACTGGGGAGGCTGAGGCAAGAGAATCACTTGAACCGGGGAGGCAGAGGTTGCAGTGAGCCAAGACAACACCACTGCACTCCAGCCTGGGTGAAAAAGTGACTGTCTCAAAAATAAATTAATTAATCAATTAATTAAAGAAACCAAACAAGGAGAAGGTTGGCTACCGTGGGATCAGCAAGGGTGGGATGCTGATGCCACCACCAGGCTCCATCCACATAGGAAGGGGTTGATGCTCCTGGAACCAGCACCAGGGACCACCCTATGGAAGCTGGGGCCATGGAGAAGGCACAGACATGGCAGGAGAGGCTCCCAATCCCCATCAGGAACAGGGTGTGTGGACACTGATGTCTGCCTTACTGATGAGTTGATACCTCTGCCAGAGACTCCAATTTGTTCAAAAGAGATTGATTCAGGCTGCTGAGAGCCTGGACATGCAGCCTGTCCTCTTCCACCCCCACATAGACAGCAGGAAAGAGACTAGTGGGAAAGAGATACAACAGCCCAAGAGATGAGGCTCTCTTCACAGTGGGAAGGGAGTCAGGGGCTACTGGAGACAGAGGGACAGAGAAGAGGGAGGAAGACAAATGGAGGGACCTGCACCAGGGGATATGGGCACAGAAAAGACACGGAGACACAGAGAGGGAGGAGAGAGACAGACCTCTGGGAGGGGAACCCTCACTCATTCCAGGTGCCATGGATGGGATGATAAAGAGAGATGCCTTCTAAACTCACAACTTCTCTTTCTAGGAAACCACAGAAAACCTTCCCTCCTGGCCCACCCAGGGCCCCTGCTGAAATCAGGAGAGACAGTCATCCTGCAATGTTGGTCAGATGTCATGTTTGAGCACTTCTTTCTGCACAGAGATGGGATCTCTGAGGACCCCTCACGCCTCGTTGGACAGATCCATGATGGGGTCTCCAAGGCCAACTTCTCCATCGGTCCCTTGATGCCTGTCCTTGCAGGAACCTACAGATGTTATGGTTCTGTTCCTCACTCCCCCTATCAGTTGTCAGCTCCCAGTGACCCCCTGGACATCGTGATCACAGGTGAGAGTGTCCAGACATTCTTCTCATTGTCATTGGGACACAGAGTGAATGATCCAGGACTTGGAACCCCCAGGTGGTCATGAGGAAGATAAGCGTGGGATTCTTATGGAGAGAGACTGACTCGGTGAGGTCTGTACCAACAGAGACAGGGAAACAGGAGACATAAGTACAGACCAGGTGTCATAACAGAGGACAGACACAGGGGCCATACGGGGAAGTAGAAAAGAGAGAAAGAGGTAAAGGAGACACTCAGACAGACAGACATGTGCCAGAGAGAAGTGTCCTTCCATGCTGACTTTGCTCAGAGACCTGGCACAGGTTAGAAGTTTCATTTCTGTTTTGTCTCCACAAAGTGCTTCTACGAGGAGAACCCAAGGACACCCATATTTCTGACCTGAGTTGGGCCCTGTGGCCTCAGGCCTTGTGGCATCTACAGATGCCATGTTTATTCTGACACCTCTGCCTTCCATGCAGTGGAGCCATAATTATCCCAGGATATCATGGCCCCAGAACACCAACCCCTAAATACTGTGTGTACTTGGTGTCCCCAGACTAGATTCTGAGGCTCATATTCCAAATAATCCTACATATAATAGGATCACTGAGAGACACAGAGATAAATCAGGGACTTCAAAAAGCAAAGGCATAAACACACAGAGAATGAGCCAGAGGAAGGGGATTGAGAGACTCACAGACACACAAAAAGAAAGAAAAGAGGGCAGAGGAGTGGAGAGAATGCTGGAAGGGAGGAGAGAAAAGCCCCAAAATCAGAACCCTGAGGGAGGGGCACAAAGACAGAGAAAGATAAAGATGTGGGGATGGATTGCAGAGATTCCAAATAGAACTAGAGAGACTGAGAGGCAGAGAAAGACAAGGAGATGGAGAGAGACAGATGATAGATGGATAGATAGATATAGATAGATGATAAATAGGTAGATGATAGATAATGGATAGGTTATAGATACATAGATGATGATTGATAGATGATACATAGAGATGATGATGATGATGATGATGAAGATAGATAGATAGAAGACACATATATAAATATATAGATACATAGATGATACATAGAGACTGACAGGCAGACAGAGAGGTAATAGAGAGAGAGAGAGATGATACATAGATACAGATAATACATAGATGATTGATGGATAGACAGATAGACAATTGATAGATAAATGATACATAGATATAGATGACAGATAATTTGTAGATAGACACAAAATAGATAGATAGATAATAGATAGAAATATGCAGAAAGTTATGAACAAGACAGAAAGTGAGAGACTCAGAATTATAGAAAAAGGAAGATCAAGTCAACCAATCCAAGGAGAGTCAGAGAGAATAAAACAATCCAAAAAGGGAAAGCATACCCAGGGGTGGGGAAGTGAGGTCAGAGACCTAGAGAGACAGAGAAGGCGGAAGGAGGAAATAGACATGAAGAGAGTTGGGGTGGAGGGTGAGAGAGAGAGAGAGCATTAGGTCATAGAGCAGGGGAGTGAGTTCTCAGCTCAGGTATGAGGGGAGCTGTGACAAGGAAGAACCTCCCTGAGGAAACTGCCTCTTCTCCTTCCAGGTCTATATGAGAAACCTTCTCTCTCAGCCCAGCCGGGCCCCACGGTTCAGGCAGGAGAGAACGTGACCTTGTCCTGTAGCTCCTGGAGCTCCTATGACATCTACCATCTGTCCAGGGAAGGGGAGGCCCATGAACGTAGGCTCCGTGCAGTGCCCAAGGTCAACAGAACATTCCAGGCAGACTTTCCTCTGGGCCCTGCCACCCACGGAGGGACCTACAGATGCTTCGGCTCTTTCCGTGCCCTGCCCTGCGTGTGGTCAAACTCAAGTGACCCACTGCTTGTTTCTGTCACAGGTGAGGAAAACCCGTGTCTGTCCCATGTCTTATGATCCTAGAGCCATAGCTGAGGAGCTTCCTGCCGATGATGGGGAGAAGCATGGACAGATGCAGAGAGAACACGAAGACTGGGTGTGAGGGGGGGGTCAGGGTGCAGGATGGCAGACAGGGCACCTCCAAACCCTCTTGCATGGCCTGCATGGAGGCCCATGGTCAGGGCTCCAGGCACCCAGGCAGATGGAGAAAGCGGTCAGGACAGACCCAGAGAAGGGGAGACTGGGCTCAGTTTGGGGAGATCAGAGGTTCCCTCAGCCCCTCAACCTTACCCATTTCCCAGAAGCCCATCCTGGCCTCTCACCCACACAGAGAGATGTCATCACCAGCAACCCCTACACTCTTTTCTTTTCATTTTCAAAAATATTTATTGAGGTTAAATGTAACTATATAATTTACCAACTTTACCATTTTTAAAAGTAAAATCTAGTGGTCATAAATACCTTTATATGCTGGGTGTGGTGGTTCACGGTTGTAATCTTGGCGCTTTGAGAGGCCAAGAAAGGTGGATCATTTAAGATCAGGGACTCGAGATCAGCCTGGCCAACATGCGGGAAATTCATCTTTACTAAACAGACAAGAAAAATTAGCCAAGCATGCCGGCATGCACCTGTAGTCCTAGCTACTTGGGAGGCTGAGGCAGGAGAAGCACTTAAAGCCAGGAGGCAGAGGTTGCACTGAGCCGAGATCATGCCACTGCACTGCAGCCTGGGAGACAGAGAGAGACTCTGTTTCTAAATAAATAAATACATCTATATTCTTTTTTTTGTTACCCTCCACCCTTCCCTTCCTGGCCTCTGGTATCCACCATTCTATTCTCTACCTTCATGAGATCCACCTTTTATCTCCTGCATGTGGTGAGAAATGGGAATCTTTGTAATGACCTCGAGTTCCATCCATGTGGCTGCAAATGACAGGATGTTATTGTTTCTATGGATGAGTAGTCTCCACCGTGTGTGTGTACTACAGTTCTCTATCCATTCACCCACTGATAGGCAGGTAGGTTGACTCCACATCTTGGCTACTGTGAACAGTGCTGGAACAGTCATATGAGTGCAGATATCACTTCGATACACTGATGTCCTTTCCTTTGGATATAAACCCAGTAGTGAAATTGCTGGACACTATGAAAGTTCTCTTTTTTTTTTTTTCTTTTTTGAGAAAGAGTTTCCCTCCTTAGTCCAAGCTGGAGTCAAAGTGGTGCGATCTTGGCTCATTGCAACCTCTGCTTCCTAGGTTCAAACGATTCTCCTGACTCAGCCTCCCTAGTAGCTGTGATTACAGGTGCACGCCACCATGCCTGACTAATTCTTGTATTTTTTAGCACAGACGGGATATCCCAATTTTGGGCAGGCTGCTCTCAAACTCCTGACCTCAAGTGAGGTGCCTGCCTCGGTTTCCCAAAGTGCTGAAGTTACAGGCATAAGCCACTATGCCCAGCCTCCTTTTAGTTTTTTAAAGATTTTCCATACTTTTCTCCATAATAGTTGTACTAATTTACATTCCTACCAACAGGGTACCAGGGTTCTCCTTTCTCTACCATCTTGCCAGCATTTGTTTTGCCTGTCTTGCAGATAAAAGCCATTTTACTTTACTTTATTTATTTATTTATTTATGTTGAGATGGAGTTTCACTCATAGTCGCCCAGGCTGGAGTGCAAGGGTGTGATCTCGGCTCACTGCAACCTCTGCCTCCCGCGTTCAACTGATTCTCCTGCCTCAGCCTCCAAAGTAGCTGGGATTACAGGCATGTGCCACCACGCCTAGCTAATTTTTGTATGTTTAGTAGAGAGGGAGTTTCTCCATGTTGGTCAGGCTGGTCTCCCGACCTCAGGTGATCCGCCCACCTCCGCCTCCCAAAGTGCTGGAATTACAGGCGTGAGCCACCGGCCTAAAAGGCATTTTAATGGGATGAGATGAAAACTCATCGCGATTGTAATTTACATTTCTGTGATGATGAGTGATGCTGAGCACTTTTTCATATACATGATCGCCATTTCTATGTTTTGTTTGTGGAGAAATGTCTCCTCATGTCTTTTGCTCGTTTTTTAATTAAATTGTTTTATTGAGTTGTTTGAGCTTCTTATATTTCCAGTTATTAATCCCATCTCAGATGAATAGTTTGCAAATATTTGCTCCTATTTTGTGGGTTGTCTCTTCACTTTGTTGGTTTATCTTTGGTGGTGCAGAAGTTGCTTGGTTTGATGTAATCCTAATGGTCTATTTTTTGCTTTGATTACTTGTGTTTTGAAGGTTTTAAACAAAATGTCTTTCGTCAGACAAATGTCTTCCCCATTATTTTCTTCTACATGTTTCATAGGTTCAGGCCTTAGACTCATGTTTTTAATCCATTTTCATTTGATTTTTGTGTAAGGTGACAGGTATAGATGCAGTTTTATTCCTCTGCATGTAGATATCCAGTTTTCCCCACACCATTTATTGAAGACTGTCCTTTCCTGATTGTAAGTTCTCGGCACCTTTGTCAAAGTCCATTAAATGGGCTGGGTATGGTGGCTCACACCTGCAATTCCAGCACTTTGGGAGGCCGAGGCGGGTGGATCACCTAAAGCCAGGAGTTCAAGACCAGGCTGGCCAACAGAGTGAAACCTCGTCTCTACTAAAAATACAAAAATTAGCTGAGCATGGTGATCAGTGCCTGTAATACCACTACTCAGGAGTTTGAAGCAAGAGAATTTCTTGAATCCAGGAAGTGGAGGTTGCATTGAGCTGAGATTGCACCTCTACACTCCAGCCTGCATGACAGAGCAAGATTCTATCACACACACACAAAAGAAAGCCATTGGATGTAAATGCATGGATTATATCTGTGTTCTCCATTCTGTTCCATTTTTTATGTGCCTTTCTTTATGCCAATGTCATGCTGTTTTGCTTACTACAGCTCTGTAACATATTTCTAAGTCAGGTAGTGTGATGCTCCTGTTTTCTCTTTATACCTTCAAGTCTCAAGACAGTGGGCATCGCACACAAAAATTATGGAGAAAAGGATCCCAAGACTCCCAGGGTCCAACATTAGATAACAGAGTGTTGGCCATGAACCAACCTCAAAGATTTCCATTGAGTAGAGGACAAGCACCCTCATTTCCTCACATCTCTCCTGTCCCGTGTTCTAGGAAACCCTTCAAGTAGTTGGCCTTCACCCACAGAACCAAGCTCCAAATCTGGTGAGTAAAGGACCCCTCTTATCTCTGCTTTTGGAAACCTGGGGAGGTGGAAGCCTTGGATGCAAGTGTTGGCTCAAACCTCCCAGCTCTGTGAATGAGGGCCTGTCTTCCACCATCTCTGAACTCCAGACACTCCAACAGTGAAAGGGATCTAGGGCCACCAAAGGGCTCAGCGAAGTCTCTTTACCTTTAATTTCCTGCAGGTGAGACCTCCTACAAGCTAGAAGAATAATTGCCAATCTGACATCCTTCTCAGGAAAAATGCAGTGTTTTTTCTGCCTGCATTCCTAACTGGAGGATAAATTCCCGGGGGCTTGAGAGAGGGAAGGGAAGGGAACATCTGATGAGGGTGGGTGTTTTAGAGAAGTTCCACTTGCCAAGGAATGAATTACTGTTGGTCATCAGGCAACCCTGGCTGACTCAGCAGAGCAAGAGCCTTGCCGTAACAGAGAACAGAGCTCATGCACGCACACTTCGACTCACTGACTCATTCAGCCACGGCCCCATGCTCAGGCTGTGCAGTGTGGAAGCTTTTCCTATTGTTGCCATAACAAATTTCCACAAGATTCGTGGGTGAAAACAAAACGGTTATTTAATTATCTTACAGTGCTGTAGCTCAAAGCATGACGTGCATGTCACTGGGCTAAAATCAAGGTGACAGCAAGGCTGCCTTCCCTCTGAGGGTTCCAGGCAAGAATCTGCTTCTCACTTTTCTCAGCTTCTAGAGGCTCCCATGTTCCTTGGCTCCTGGTACCCTTCCTCCTTCCTCAAAGCCCACAAAGACTGGTCACATCTCACATGGCATCACTCAGACCCTTCTTCCTTACCACACCTCTTTCTCTGAATGCTGCTCTCCCTTCTTGCCCTTCTTTTGAAAACTTGGGGATTCTATTGGGTTCACCAAGATGAAAATCCATCATAATCTCCCGGAAATCATCCAGGATACCCTCCTTTTAAGTTCAGCTGACTAGCAACCATAATTCCATCTGCAATCTTCATTCCTCCTTTCATGTAAAATAACATATTCACAAGCTATGGAGGCTAGGACATGGACATTTTTGGGGTGGGACAACATTCTCCTGCCTTCCACAAACAGTGAACAAGATGCATTTGGCCTCTGTTCTTGGGACACTGATCTTGCAGATGGTTAAATGGGAGGGCAGAAAATGTAGGCACAAGGGGACCAATAAATGAATGATCTATTGAGAAGCATCTGTGCATGAAATCTATTTATTTATGTATTTACCTACTTGTTTATTGAGACGGAGCCTTGCTCTGTCGTCCAGGCTAGAGTGCAGTGGCATGATCTCGGCTCACTGCAACCTCCACCTCCTGGGCTGAACTGATCTCCTCCCTCAGCCTCTCCAGTAGCTGGGATTACAGACCACAACCACCACGCCCGGCTAACTCTTTTTGCATATTTTCTGTAGAGAGGATGTTTCACCATGTTGGCCAGGCTGGTCTCAAATTCCCAACCTCAGGTGATCCAATAGCCTCTGCCTCCCAACACGCTGGGATAAGAGGCATGAGCCACGGGGCCAAGCCAAATTTTCAAATCAATAATAGATAATGCTGAGTGTATGATTTCAGGTGACAGAGAAGTTCTCACTAATCAGATATTTGTGACATTAATGAAAAACACGGATTGAACCCCTGGAAGATTGGCAGAAGGATTTTCCACACAGCTGTCAGCCGTGAAGGCACAAAGGTGAAAACAATCTGATGTGGAAGGAAGAGGCTCTGCCTGAAATGCCGGGAATGAGATGGGGAGAATGACAAGACGACTGTGGAGAGACGGAGAGCACACTGGGTACACAGGAAACTAAGGAGCAACAAGGAGTGTGTGTTTGACACTCACAGCCCTTGGATTCACCTCGGGGTAACCAGGAATCCCTACATGATTAATATGACTGACATGAAAATAAGGGAGGCTCAGGTGCATAACTGGAATCTAGGAGACCGTGGAAAAGGCAATTGCCGCCCCACTGGTGAAATGTGGTGCTGATTTAGACACTAAATGAATGAAGTAGATGGATATAAGATATGTTTGTGAGGTAGAATCATTGACTGGAAACGCTTACTGGGTTTAATTTTTCCTGGTAGTTTAATCCTCGCTTCACTAACTTATTTCTGAGATTTATTTCTCCTGCATCTAAATCAATACCTGGCAGAGGAGGGAGAGCTAGATGAGGGGTGGTGCAAATGAAGGGACCTAGTATAGCATAATATACAAGGCTGTGAACGGTGGCTCACGCCTGTAACCCAGCACTTCAGGAGGCCAACGCGGGTGGATCACATGAAGTCAGGAGTTCGAGACCAGCCTGGCCAACATGGAGAAACCCTATCTCTACTAAAAATACAAAAATTAAACAGGCATGATGGTGGTGCATGACTGTAATCCCAGCTACTCTGGAGGAGGAAGCAGGAGAATGACTTCAGCCCTGGAGGCAGAGGTTGCAGTGAGTGGAGATCGCATCACTGCACACCAGCCTGGGCTACACAGGGATACTCTGTCTCAAAAAATAAAAATAAAAAATACATAAATATAATAATATACACAAATGATGCAGGCACCTGAATTCCAATCATCATTTTTCTATTCCTCTATAATTACTTCTTTGATCCTTTATCTTATCCATTAGAAAATCAGCCTAAAACCTCTTCCATATTTGGCTTTCTGTGAACATGAGATCATATGGAAAATATGAAAGCCCCCTGAACCCACCAGCACAGGCCCTGAAATAGGGAAAGTGCTCTGTTCATCACAAGAAACTTTCCCCCTCACCCAAATCCCCCACCTCACCCCTACTTCCAATCACCTGTGGAGATACAGATAGATCATGGGGAGGTAAACGCTAATACTCCTTGGAGTGAGTTCAGATCTTGGAATCAGAGATCAGCACCAGCACTAGCTCCTGCTCCCCTTTCCTACTAATTCACAGGAGGACAGGTGGTTTTGAAGCAATAGATGGTGGAGGGGGTGGTCTTTCCCCCAGCCTCTCAGGTGGAACAGCAGCCTAACATGTGTCTCGCGAGATCACAAAGAGTAGCACGTTTCACATGGGCTTCATCATTATTTCCTGGCTGTTTGACATAAGAGAATTCTACTTTGCTTTTTTGATCTTGATTTCACTTTTGTGTCCTTTTCTTGGAGAATGTAATTTGAGTCAAGAGGGTTGTGGATGTAGAAACTGTAAAGCACATTCACTGTGTATCAATCCCAGTCCAGTCTTTCCAGAGAAGACTCTAAACACCTGCTGTACTGCACCTGGGCCTATGCCAATTTCTATCACTCACCGTCACTCCAGGGAGACAGAACACACAGAGAATACGTTACATAGGCAGGTTCATTACTAACAGATAAGCAGCGAGTGACAACAGAAGCCTACATTTCAACGTGAGCCAGTCCCTCAAGGCTCAGAAAAGCTGCTCGGGACATATGGAGTCACCTCATTTGCAGTGTATCTGGGGGAAGCCAGAAAATAGCCCAGCCTGGGTTTTGTACCCTGAAGCCACAGGAAGCACTCAGCTAAAGCACTGCATGACGTCCTCCTCCAGGAAGAACAGGAAGACAGCACAGGCTGTTCTGAGACGTTCCTCCTGATCTCAGGACGTTGCTGTCTTAGTCCATTTTTGTTGCTATAAAAGAACACTTGAGCCTGGGTTACTTCTTTTTTTTTTTTTTTTTTTTTTGTATAGTGCTTCTGATGAGCTTTTTTTTAAAATTTTTATTATTATTATACTTTAAGTTTTAGGGTACATGTGCACAATGTGCAGGTTAGTTACATATGTATACATGTGCCATGCTGGTGTGCTGCACCCATCAACTCGTCATTTAGCATTAGGTATATCTCCTAATGCTATCCCTCCCCCCTCCCCCCACCCCACAACAGTCCCCAGAGTGTGATGTTCCCCTTCCTGTGTCCATGTGTTCTCATTGTTCAATTCCCACCTATAAGTGAGAACATGCGGTGTTTGGATTTTTGTCCTTGTGATAGTCTACTGAGAATGATGATTTCCAATTTCATCCATGTCCCTGCAAAGGACATGAACTCATCATTTTTTATGGCTGCATAGTATTCCATGGTGTATATGTGCCACATTTTCTTCATCCAGTCTATCATTGTTGGACATTTGGGTTGGTTCCAAGTCTTTGCTATTGTGAATAGTGCCACAATAAACATACGTGTCCATGTGTCTTTATAGCAGCATGATTTATAGTCCTTTGGGTTTATACCCAGTAATGGGATGGCTGGGTCAAATGGTATTTCAAGCTCTAGATCCCTGAGGAATCGCCACACTGACTTCCACAATGGTTGAACTAGTTTACAGTCCCACCAACAGTGTAAAAGTGTTCCTATTTCTCCACATCCTCTCCAGCACCTGTTGTTTCCCGACTTTTTAATGATCGCCATTCTAACTGGTGTGAGATGGTATCTCATTGTGGTTTTGATTTGCATTTCTCTGATGGCCAGTCATGGTGAGCATTTTTTCATGTGTTTTTTGGCTGCATAAATGTCTTCTTTTGAGAAGTGTCTGTTCATGTCCTTTGCCCACTTTTTGATAGGATTGTTTGTTTTTTTCTTGTAAATTTGTTTGAGTTCATTGTAGATTCTGGATATTAGCCCTTTGTCAGATGAGTAGGTTGCGAAAATTTTCTCCCATTTTGTAGGTTGTCTGTTCACTCTGATGGTAGTTTCTTTTGCTGTGCAGAAGCTCTTTAGTTTAATTAGATCCCGTTTGTCAATTTTGGCTTTTGTTGCCGTTGCTTTTGGTGTTTTAGACATGAAGTCCTTGTCCATGCCTATGTCCTGAATGGTAATGCCTAGGTTTTCTTCTAGGGTTTTTATGGTTTTAGGTCTAACATTTAAGTCTTTAATCCATCTCAAATTAATTTTTGTATAAGGTGTAAGGAAGGGATCCAGTTTCAGCTTTCTACCTATGGCTAGCCAGTTTTCCCAGCACCATTTATTAAATAGGGAATCCTTTCCCCATTGCTTGTTTTTCTCAGGTTTGTCAAAGATCACATAGTTGTAGATATGTGGCATTATTTCTGAGGGCTCTATTCTGTTCCATTGATCTATATCTCTGTTTTGGTACCAGTACCATGCTGTTTTGGTTACTGTAGCCTTGTAGTATAGTTTGAAGTCAGGCAGCATGATGCCTCCAGCTTTGTTCTTTTGGCTTAGGATTGACTTGGCAATGCAGGCTCTTTTTTGATTCCATATGAACTTTAAGGTAGTTTTTTCCAATTCTGTGAAGAAAGTCATTGGTAGCTTGATGGGGATGGCATTGAATCTATAAATTACCTTGGGCAGTATGGCCATTTTCACGATCTTGATTCTTCCTACCCATGAGCATGGAATGTTCTTCCATTTGTTTGTATCCTCTTTTATTTCATTGAGCAGTGGTTTGTAGTTCTCCTTGAAGAGGTCCTTCATATCCCTTGTAAGTTGGATTCCTAGGTATTTTATTCTCTTTGAAGCAATTGTGAATGGGAGTTCACTCATGATTTGGCTCTCTGTTTGTCTGTTATTGGTGTATAAGAATGCTTGTGATTTTTGTACATTGATTCTGTATCCTGAGACTTTGTAGAAGCTGCTTATCAGCTTAAGGAGATTTTGGGCTGAGACAATGGGGTTTTCTATATATACAATCATGTCATCTGCAAACAGGGACAATTTGACTTCCTCTTTTCCTAATTGAATACCCTTTATTTCCTTCTCCTGCCTAATTGCCCTGGCCAGAACTTCCAACACTATGTTGAATAGGAGTGGTGAAAGAGGGCATCCCTGTCTTGTGCCAGTTTTCAAAGGGAATGCTTCCAGTTTTTGCCCATTCAGTATGATACTGGCTGTGGGTTTGTTATAGATGGCTCTTATTATTTTGAGATACGTCCCATCAATGCCTAATTTATTGAGAGTTTTTAGCATGAAGCGTTGTTGAATTTTGTCAAAGGCCTTTTCTGCATCTATTGAGATAATCGTCCGGTTTTTGTCTTTGGTTCTGTTTATATGATGGATTACATTTATTGATTTGCATATATTGAACCAGCCTTGCATCCCAGAGCCTGGGCAACTTCTAGAGAAAACAGATTTGTTTGCCTCACAGTTCTGCAGGCTGTACTGGAAGCATGGCACCAGCATCTGTTTCCTGTGACGGCCTCAGGCTGCTCCCACTCTGGCAGAAGGGAAGGAGGGTCTGTCTGTGCAGAGACCACAGAGATCACATGGCAAGAGAGGGAGCAAGGGGGAGGGCGAGCGATGGAGCTTCCAAGCTCTTTTTAACAACCAGCCCTCCGGGAACTAATAGAGGGGGAACTTGCTAACCCCATCATGTGGGGCAGCATTAATCTATTCATGATGGATCCACCTCCATGACTCAAACACCTTCCCATAGGCCCAAACTTCCACACTGGGGGTTAAATTTCAATATTTCAGTGTGAGGTTTCAAAGGGTCAAACATCTAAACTAAAGCAGCTGTATCCTCAGCATGTTCTATGGTTTCTATGAGAGCTGTAACTGAGAAAGCAGGAGAAAGCTGGGTCTCCCGCCATCAGGCTGCTTGTCCTAAGGAGATGTTCCATGTGGTTACCTGTCAATCAAGAAATGAGACAATCCATAAAGAGGAACTGCTATGATTAGCTTCTTATTGGATTCCCATCTTCCTCCAGGTATCTGCAGACACCTGCATGTTCTGATTGGGACCTCAGTGGTCATCTTCCTCTTCATCCTCCTCCTCTTCTTTCTCCTTTATCGCTGGTGCTCCAACAAAAAGAGTAAGTCTCACGAAGCAGAGGCCAGAGAGCTCAGGGCCATGTGGGGAAGCAGGATGGGAGCACGCGGGTGTGTGTTCCTCACTGGCAGGATGGTCCCTGGCCCAAGGGAGGAGCCACAGAGGCAGGGCTTTCTAGAGAGAGCACCAGACAACCTGCCCCTGCCTTCAGCTCACAGACCATTGCCTGGTTCTGAACTGTATCCTCACATCCCCTGCAGCCACTGACATCCAGAAGCTTCCATGACAGGCAGAAAGTGGGAGACAGAATCAATGGGATGCCAATTGAGAGCACTTCATGGGATGGGGTCTTGAACTCAGAGAGATAGAATGTCTGAGTCTGGATGTTGGCAGCTGAAGAGCCTCAGGCACCTACAGCCTCCCCCTGTGGGTTGGTGTCTGCCCATGAAATGAGGACCCAGAAGGGCCCTCCAAGCGGTTTTGATGACTTCCGTCTCCTACAGATGCTGCTGTAATGGACCAAGAGCCTGCGGGGGACAGAACAGTGAATAGGCAGGTAGGTCCTCCTCGGCCCAGCCTCACGGATACAGTCTTATCCCTAATAGTCCTGAAAAATGTGAGCACCCTCCCTCACTCAGCATTTCCCTCTCTCCAGGACTCTGATGAACAAGACCCTCAGGAGGTGACGTACGCACAGTTGGATCACTGCGTTTTCATACAGAGAAAAATCAGTCGCCCTTCTCAGAGGCCCAAGACACCCCTAACAGATACCAGCGTGTACACGGAACTTCCAAATGCTGAGCCCAGATCCAAAGTTGTCTCCTGCCCACGAGCACCACAGTCAGGTCTTGAGGGGGTTTTCTAGGGAGACAACAGCCCTGTCTCAAAACCAGGTTGCCAGATCCAATGAACCAGCAGCTGGAATCTGAAGGCATCAGTCTGCATCTTAGGGGATCGCTCTTCCTCACACCACGAATCTGAACATGCCTCTCTCTTGCTTACAAATGCCTAAGGTCGCCACTGCCTGCTGCAGAGAAAACACACTCCTTTGCTTAGCCCACAAGTATCTATTTCACTTGACCCCTGCCCACCTCTCCAACCTAACTGGCTTACTTCCTAGTCCTACTTGAGGCTGCAATCACACTGAGGAACTCACAATTCCAAACATACAAGAGGCTCCCTCTTAACACGGCACTTACACACTTGCTGTTCCACCTTCCCTCATGCTGTTCCACCTCCCCTCAGACTATCTTTCAGCCTTCTGTCATCAGTAAAATTTATAAATTTTTTTTATAACTTCAGTGTAGCTCTCTCCTCTTCAAATAAACATGTCTGCCCTCATGGTTTCGATAATGTGACTCTTTATTCGCCAAAAGTTTCCAGTGTTATCATTACTATGTCCATATAACCTGATATGTTCTCTACTGGGTTCTCAGCCCTGGACTCTGAGCTTCTGGAAGCAGGGTGGAGCCTCATTTGTCTCTGGGACTCCAATTTCCATCCAAAGATGCAGCACATAGGAGGTTCCAAGGATCGTGAATCACATGAACAAGTGATATTCTTACTCTCTGCAGACCTGGAAAGCTGGCAGAGTCATTCCAAGATGAAACATTTGTAGAGTCATAGGCCTTGTTAGTCTCATCTCCACAGGGACACATGTCAACACATCATCTTTCATACTATAAATATACAGTCGCTCCTCCATATCTGTGGGGTTTACAGGTGTTTATTGAACCAAATATAAATCAAAAATATTCAGAGAAAAAATCCACAAAGTTCCAAAAAGCAAAAATACTATATTGTGTGGACACAAGTGAGGTGGTGTGTAGGCTGTATCAGGAATTATAAGTAATCTAGAGATGATTTCATGTATACAGGAGGATGTGCATGGGTTATATGCAAACGCTGTGCCATTTCATGCAACAGGCTTGAGCATCTGCAGATTTTGGTGTCTGGTAGGGAGGGGGGTTTCCTGGAACCAATCACCCATGAATAGTGAAGGACAACTGTATATAATTTTCATTCATCAATTTTATAAATAAATCATCAAAATGTATGATAATAAGATAAAAAATTAGCAGTGTTTTTATGGTGTGAAAATAAGCTTAGATTTATTTTTTCCTGCTTGTAACCCTCTGGTCCAATGTTATTTACTGAGAAGACATTCTATTCCACCTTAATCCGCATGGCAGCCTCTGTCAACTATAAAAGGACTGTGTGTACACAGATGTATTTTACACACTCTTTTCTGCTCAGTGGCTCTCTGTGTCCACTCTCATGAGGATGCTGCACTTTATGTGGCCTTATAGAACCCCTTAAAATTTGGCAGCCTGAATCCTCTAATTTCTCCTTCCTCTTTAAGATTGCCATTATTATTATTATTGGCTATTTGCTTTTCCATGTAAATTTGTAATCATTTTTCTCATTTCCACCAAAAACAATGCTTGTAATTTTGTTGTGACTCCCTTACATCTACAGGTAAGTTCTGTCCTATAGAAACATAATGCAAACCACATGCATTCTTTCAAACTTGCTAGTATCCAAATTAAAAAGCTAACAAGAAACAGATAAAATTAATTTAAGTTAACCCAATGGACCCAAAATATTATTAACCCAACAGACCCAAAATATTAACCTAATAGATCCAAAATATTATTTTATTATACAAGTAGACTCAAAATATTATCATTTCAACATGTAATCATGTGTCATCTTGGAAAACATCAGATCCCTGTCTAGGTGGGCAAAGATTTTTCTTCGTAATATCTCATTTCCACATTTCCACTTGGCACAGAAACTGCCCCCAAGGCTCAGGATACTAAGATGCAGTAGGAATGGGTAGATGTATCTGGAGGAAAGTGACTGAATGAAATTGAGACATCAGAGTCTGGGAAACTCACTAGAACTACAGGGACAGTGTGGGGGAGGGAATTGGGAGATGTTGATCAAAGGATACAAACTATCAGGTATTCAGGAGGAATGGGTCTGAAGATCTCTTGTACAGCTTTGCCACTATGGTTGACAATACTGTACTCTATACTTGAAATTTACCAGGAAAGTAGATTTTTTTTTTTAAATATGGAACACTTCACGAATTTGCGTGTCATTCTTGCGCAGGGGCCATGCTAGTTTTCTCTGTATCGTTCCAATTTTAGTATATGTGCTGCCGAGGCAAGCATGGGAGAGTAGATTTTTTTTTTTTTTTTTTTTTTTTTGAGCTGGAGTCTTGCTCTGTCACCCAGGCTGGAGTGCAGTGGCGCGATCTCGGCTCACCGCAAGCTCCGCCTCCTGGGTTCACGCCATTCTCCTGCCTCAGCCTCCCGAGTAGCTGGGACTACAGGCGCCCGCCACCACGCCCTGCTAATTTTTTGTATTTTTAGTAGAGACGGGGTTTCACTGTGTTAGCCAGGATGGTCTCGATCTCCTGACCTCGTGATCCGCCTGCCTCGGCCTCCCAAAGTACTGGGATTACAGGCATGAGCCACCACGCCCGGCTGGGAGAGTAGATCTTAAGGGTCCTCACCACAAAAAAAAAAAAAAGAAAGAAAGAAAAAGAAACCATAGGCCGGGCGCGGTGGCTCACGCCTGTAATCCCAGCACTTTGGGAGGCCAAGACGGGCAGATCACTTGAGGTCAGGAGTTCAAGACCAGCATGGCCAACATGGTGAAACCCTGTCTCTACTAAAAATGCAAACATTAGCCAGGCGTGGTGACACAAGCCTGTAATCCCAGCTACTCAGGAGGCTGAGGCACGAGAATTGCTGGAACCTGGGAGCGGAGGTTGCAGTGAGCCAAGATGGCACCACTGCACTCTAGCCTGGGGGACAGAGTAAGACTTCCTCTCAAAAAAAAAAAAAAAAAAAAAACAATAACCCTGCGAGATGATGGATATAACTAGCTTGACTATGATGATCATGTCACCATGTATACATACATCAAAACATCAAGTGTAATACACCTTAAATATATACAATTTCCATTTGTCAATCATATCTCAATAAAGCTAAAAGAAACCTCTAAGTTTCAACTTTATTTTCAGAAAGCTGTGCCATGCTTACCTCAGTGCCTAAGTATACTCTAATTCATGGAAATGGCCTTTAAAACTGCAGAGAGTGGCTGGGTGCAGTGGCTCACGCCTATAATCCCAGCACTTTGGGAGGCGGAGGTGGGCAGATCACGAGGTCAGGAGTTCGAGATCAGCCTGGCCAACATGGTGAAACTCTGTCTCTACTAAAAATACAAAAAATAGCTGGGCATGGTGGCAGGTGCCTGTAAATCTGAGATACTCAGGAGGCTGAGACAGGAGAATCGTTTGAACTGGGGAGGCAGAGGTTGCAGTGAGCCGAGATCCTGCCATTGCACTCCAGCCTGGGCGACAGGGTGAGACTCCATCTCAAAAAAAAAAAAAATACTGCAGAGAGTTAAGGCCCTCACTGGACACTCTCCGGTACCTCTGAGGTCAGTGGATAGAGAAGCAGCTCCCCTTCTTCTTCCTCGAAACAAAGGCCTCCTTCCTTCTTAGGTGTTTGAGACAAATTCTCCACACAGGTGCAGCTGAGTGCTGTAAAGTCCCACTGAGAGTTGAAGGTCCCCACTGCCAGTCACAGTTCGGTCCCACTGAGGGTTGAAGGTCCCCACTGCCAGTCACAGTTTGGTCCCATTGAGGGTTGAGAGTCTCCACTGCCAGTCACAGTTTGGTCCCATTGAGGGTTGAGAGTCTCCACTGCCAGTCAGTTTGGGCTTATTAGGGTTTATGCTGTGCACGGAGAATGGAACCTACCAATCAACTCTTAGTGACCAGTTAGACAGATTCAAGGCAAATTTCCCTGCTGGGAAATCCCAAATCCCAAAATATGCAGAGACCAATAGATGCCTCAATTCTTCCGTGTCTCCGTCTAAATCCTTGGGTCACTGTGACTCCTGTAGTTATGTGGCTTGTAATTCCTTGGGCCGTAGAATGGCTATGATAGGCCCTGTGCTAAGGGGACTGGTGACAGTTGAGACAGGAACATGGAAGCTATAGTAGTCAGGGTTCTCCAGAAAAAAAAATAATCAACACTAATAATGATAGATATATAGATAATGATTGATAGACAAATAATGATAGATATATAATGATATCACAAATAATGATAGACATATAGTTGGATAATGACAGATATATAATGATTGATACACAGATAGGGTATTTATATATTGGCTTATGCAACTATGTAGACTGACAGGTCCCATGATCTGCCATCTGCAAGCTGGAGACCCAGGGGAGTCCACGTGTAGTTCCAGTCTACGTGCAAAAGTCTGAGAACCAGTAGAGTTAGTGGTATACGTAACAGTCCAAAAGCTAGCAGGCTCATGCCGGGCATGATGGCTCACGCCTGTAATCCCAACACTTTGGGAGACCAAGGCAGGCAGATCACCTGAGGTCAGAGTTCAAGACCAGCCCGGCCAACATGGTGAAACCCCATCTTTACTAAAAATACAAAAATTAGCCGGGCATAGTGGCATTCGCTTGTAATCCCAGCTACTCAGAGGCTGAGGTACGAGAATTGCTTGAACCCAAGAGGTGAAGGTTGCAGTGAGCCGAGATCATGCCACAGCACTCCAGCCTGGGTGACAGAGTGAGACTCTATCTCAAAAAAACAAACAAACAAAAAAAGCTGGCAGGCTTAACATCTAAAGAGTCAATGTTTTAGTGAGAGTTCAAGAGCCAGAAAAGACTGATGTCCAGGCAAAAGGAACTTCATCTTACATTACCAGTTCAATGTTTTGTTCTATTCAGGTCCCACCTGATTGAATGAGGCCGACTCACATTAGGGAGAGCAATCTGCTTTATAAATTACACTAATTCCATTGATAATCTCATTCAGCAACACCCCCACAGACACACACAGAATAATGTTTAACCAAATATCTCAGCACCCCATGGCTACGTTACCATTCCTGTTCCACAAAAGGAGGAAACAAAAGAACAAAACCACACCAAATGTTGTGGTAAGTTGACAAAATCTGTTCCAGCCCATTAGTAAATATTGGCCACTGAAGTTCCTGAAATTCAACAATTAGTAAGTATCTCTCTCCCAATAGAAAGCCACGTCATTTGTAAACCATAACAATAGCTTTTGTTTTTTTGAGACACAGTCTCGCTCTGTGTTGCCCAGGCTGGAGTGCAGTGATCTTGGCTCACTGCAACCTCTGCCTCCTGGGTTCAAGTGGCTCTCCTGCCTCAGCCTTCCGAGTAGCTGGAATTACAGGCACCCGCCACCACACCCAAGTAATTTTTTATATTTTTAGTAGAGACTGGGTTTCACCACATTGACCAGGCTGGTCTTAAATTCCTGAACTCAAGTGATTCACCTGCCTTGGCCTCCCAAAGTGCTGGGATTACAGGCATGAGCTACTGCACCCAGCCAACAATAGTATTTTTAATTAGGTCATCCTGCCTTTACAATCTCTGCATTTTAAATACTCAACTAAGAGTACAGCCATTATTTGTCTTTCACCCAAAGTCCCATTCAAGTGAGAACAAAGGAATGAATAAATAAGGCATAAGTAACAAAACAACAAAAAAAGAAAATTAGAATGCGGTCAATTTCATGCAATCATCAACACCAAATTTCCAGAACGTAGTATTTCCAAATTTCCCGAACGTAAATATGTATGTGGAAATTAACAAAATGTGGCAAAACAAAAGGTCACTTAAATTTGCACAAATGAAACAGTCAACATGGAAGCTGATCGGCTTTCTGAAATATGGGACAAGCTCAGGACTTCAAAATACTTCGGCGTTGGAAGGGCTAAGTTATGATGTATTAAAATGAAAATAAAGTGGGGCGCGGTGGCTCACGCCTGTAATCCCAGCACTTTGGGGGACCGAAGTGGGTGGATCACGAGGTCAGGAGATCGAGACCATCCTGGCTAACACGGTGAAACCCCGTTTCTACTGAAAATACAAAAAAAATTAGCCGGGCGTGGTGGCGGATGCCTGTAGTCCCAGCTACTCGGGAGGCTGAGGCAGGAGAATAGCATGAACCCAGGAAGTGGAGCTTGCAGTGAGCTGAGATCACGCCACTGCACTCCAGCCTGGGCGACAGAGCAAGACTCCGTCTCAAAAAAAAAAAAAGAATAAATAAAATAAAATAAAATAGTAGAAGGTTTAATTAGGAATATTTCACTCTCCATACCTGAAGAATTCGTGATAGCCAGGAGTCTACAATCAAAATAACATAAATAATAAGATAAAAATAAAATTAATTTGAAGCCATAAAAAAAGAATGAGTTCATATGTTTTGTGGAAACATGGATGGAGCTGGAGGCCATTATCCTTAGCAAACTATACAAGAACAGAACACCAAATACAGCAGGTTCTCACTTATAAGTGGAAGCTAAATAATAGAACTCATGAACACAAAAAAGGGAAAAACAGACAATGGGGTCTCCTTTAGGGTGGAGGGTGGGAGGCGGGAAAGGAGCAGGCAAAGTAACTATTAGGTACCAAGCTTATTACCTAGGTGATGAAATAATCTGTACAACAAACCCCCATGACACAAGTTTACCTGTATAACAAACCTTCCCATGTACCCTTGAACCTAAAATAAAAGTTAAAAAAATACTCAATGAGCAACAATGTACATTATTTGAGGATAATTATATTAAAAGCCCAGACTTCACCACTACACAAAATATCCACGTAATAAAATTTCACTTGCGCTCCTTAAATTTATACAAATAAACAAAAAAGTATAATAAAATAGTAGATTCTTTCTTTAGAGATGACAAATAGTGCCAGAGAAAATGCCTCCACACTCTGGCATTGAGATCATCTCCAGGATAAGGGTATACTGCATGCCTGGTCAAGTCCAAGTAAATATACTCAGACCATGAATCTCAGAGATGAAACATAGGTTCAGAACAGACAAAGCCACAGAGCTTTTGACTAATGGCCCAGTGAAGGCAATGTCTGCCTGTATGGTATCCACCACCTTATATTCTGTCCCAAGCCCGTCTATTTGGATGTAGCATCTGGTTCAAAGATGAATTTGAACACCATTAGACACTGGCTTAATGAAAATTCACTTCTCATTCGTTTCTCATCTGAAACATAAATAGAAATATAGGTCTTAGGCAGGAGGATTTCTTGATGCCAGAAGTTAGAGACTACCCTGGCCAACATAGAAAGACCCCATCTCTATTTAAAAAAATATACATATATATGTCTTCTCTTGGGCTCCACCCAAGAGCAACCTGGAACTAAGTTATTCGGCAACGAACTGTTCCACTTTGTTGTGAGGCAATAGATGTGGAAATTCCCTGACGAGGGGCTCTGTCCTCATACTTCCTGCGGAGCTTATTGTCGTAAGAATATCTGTCATCCTGCTAATGTGCATTGAAAGGAGAGCAACGGGGCTGAGGCCGTGTCAGCACGATGGACCCCAAACAGACCACCCTCCTGTGTCTTGGTGAGTTTCAGAGTAAAAGTGGGTTAGAGGGGAAGATAGAGAAATCCCAAAATAATCAGGGTGTCTCTTAACAGTGTGACTAGGAGATTTTAGTGGCTGCCAAGGAGATTCTGATCTCCTTAGTGGAAAGGCCGTCTTTGTCAATGTATCTATAACTTTGTCTCTACCCAAGCCCAAGCTAGCTTGTGGGGCTCAAGGTTTAATATTTGTATTAAACCTATAGTGTGTTATCTGGGATTCATGATGGTCCCAAGGTTCTTATCAAGGAGAGACTTAGAGGCTGGAATCTGAAAGGTAAAAATAAAGAATGAACCTCAAAACTGTGATTGTTGTGGAAGGAAAACATATGATAGAACCCCATATAGAAATATGGTTACTAGTATTTTGTTGAAGATTTTTGCATTTATGTTCAACAAAGATATTATCCAGAAGTTTTCTGTTTTTGTTGTATCTCTGCCACATTTTGTTATCAGGATAATGTTGGCCTCATAGAATGAGTTGGGGAGGAGTCCCTCCTCCAGGATTTTTTTCAATAGTTTCAGTAGGAATAATACTAGCTCTTCTTGGCCGGGCGCAGTGGCTCACACCTGCAATCCCAGCACTTTGGGAGGCCAAGGCAGGCGGATCACAAGGTCAGGAGATCAAAACCATCCTGGCCAACATGGTGAAACCCTGTCTCTACTAAAAATACAAAAAAATTAGCCAGGCGTGGTGGCGGGCGCCTGTAGTCCCAGCTACTCGTGCGGCTGAGGCAGGAGAATGGCATGAACCTGGGAGGCAGAGCTTGCAGTGAGCCAAGATCATGCCACTGCACTCCAGCTTGGGCGACACAGCGAGACTCTGTCTCAAAAAAAAAAAAAAATGCCAGCTCTTCTTTATATATCTGGTGGGATTGAGCTGTGAATCCATCTGGTACTGGTCTTTTTCTGGTCTGTCATTACAGAGGGTGATTTGTCGTAAAGGTTGGAAATGGAAGCTTGATTTTTCATAAATCTCTCTCTTCCAGTGCTCTGTCTGGGCCAGAGGATTCAGGCACAGGAAGGTAAGTGTCCTGTAAATCTCTCCCAGCCCCTTTAGACCCTCTTGGGAGCTCTAGGATAAAGAAATTGAAGAATAGCCTGAAGCACCATTCTTATTTTAATCCCCATTCTAGTTGTTTCTGCTGTGCTTCTCTTGCATAATTTCTATCTCACTTTGTTATCTCCAAACCCTTCAGACTCATTAATGCTCAGGCCTGGATTTATAGTTAGTCCTTGCCTGTGTTAGACTGTCCATGAAGGATCTGTAATTTACTGAATGCTCAAACTGCAAGAATGAGGAAGTCAGGAGTCATCTGCCCAATATCCTTCCTTATGCTGATTCTATTTTGTTTTAGCAACCCACTTCCTCCCGTCACTTCATTTAAAAGGATGCTGCCATAGTCTAACCCTACTGAACACTCTAGCATTCTGTAGTACTACTGCAGTACTAAGCATGAGGCAGTCTTAGTGTACTACTGAATATTCTGCCACCCCAACTACTACTGCCTTAGCCTCCTAATGGGTGTGAGCCCCACGTCCATCCATGTCTTCTCTCTTCCAGCTCCTTCTAAAGCCTGAATTATTTGTGTGTTGAACAATACTCATTCTTCCTATCCATGAGCATGGAATGTTTTTCCATTTGTTTGTGTCATCTATGATTTCTTTGACCAGTGTTTTGTAGTTCTCCTTGCAGAGATCTTTCACCTCCCTGGTTAGCTGTATTCCCAGGTATTTTATTCTTTTTGCAGTAATTGTGAATGGATTCTATTCTTGATTTGGCTCTCAGCTTAGATGTTTTTGGTGTATAGGAATGCTACTGATTTTTATATATTGATTTTGTATCCTGGAACTTTGCTAAAGTTGTTTATCAGATTAAGAAGTGTTTGGGCAGAGACTGTGGTTTTCTAGGTATAGAATCATATCACCTGCAAACAGGGATAGTTTGACTTCCTTTCTTCCTATTTGGATGCCTTTTATTTCTCTCTTGCCTGATTGCTCTAGCTAGGACCTCCAGTACTATGTTGAACAGAAGTAGTGAGAGACGGCATCCATGTCTTTTGCCAGTTTTCAAGGGGAATACTTCCAGCTTTTGCCCATTCAATATGATGTTGACTGTGAGTTTGTCATACATCATTCTTATTATTTTGAAATATGTTTCTTCAATGCCTAGTTTGTCGAGGTTTTTTAGCATAAAGGGATGTTGAATTTTATCAAAAGCTCTATTGAGAGGATTATGTGTGTGGGGAGGGTTGTTCTATTTATGTGATGAATCATATTTAAGATTTGTGTATATTGGCCGGGCACTGTGGCTCATGCCTGTAATCCCAGCACTTTGGGAAGCCAAGGCTTGTGGATCATGAGGTCAGGAGATCGACACCATCCTGGCTAACACGGTGAAACCTCGTCTATACTAAAAAACACAAAAAAATTAGCCAGGCGTGGTGGTGGGCACCTGTAGTCCCAGCTGCTCGGGAGGCTCAGGCAGGAGAATGGCGTGAATCCAGGAGGCGGAGCTTGCAGTGAGCCAAGTTCACGCCACTACACTCCAGCCTGGGCAACAGAGCGAGACTCCTATATCGAATCAACCTTGCATCCCAGAAATAAAGCCTACCTGATGGTGGTGGATTAGCTTTCTGATGTGCTGCTGGATAGTTTGCTAGTATTTTGTTGAGGATTTTTGCATTTATGTTCAACAAGGATATTGTCCTGAAGTTTTCTGGTTTTGTTGTGTCTCTGCCATGTTTTTGCATCAAGATGATGCTGGTCTCATAGAATGAGCTGGGGAGGCATTCCTCCTCCTGAATATTTTTGGAACGTTTCAGTAGGTATAGTACCAGCTCTTCTTTATATATCAGATGGGATTCAGCTGTGAGTCTGTCTGGTACTGGGCTTTTTCTGGTCTGTAGGATTTTTATTACTGATTCAATTTTGGAGCTCATTATTGGTCTGTTCATGTATTCAATTTATTCTTGGTTTGATCTCAGGAGGGTGTATGTGTCCAGGAATTTCTCCATTTATTCTGGATTTTCTAGTTTGTGTGCATAGAGGTGTTCATAATATTCTCTGATGATTGTATTTCTGTGGGGTGAGTGGTAATATACCCTTTGTTGTTTCTAATTGTGTTTATCCGGATCATCTCTCTTTTCTTCTTTATTAGTCTAACTAGTCATCTGTCTTACTAATTTTTTCAAAAATTCTACTCCTCGATTTGCTGATCTTCTGAATGCTTTTTCGTGTCTCAATCTCCTTCAGCTCAGCTCTGATTTTGGTTATTTCTTGTTTCCTATGAGCTTTGGGGTTGATTTCCTCTTGGTTCTCTTAGTTCCTCTTGTTATGATGTTAGGTTGTTAATTTGAACTTTTTCTAGCTTTTTGAAGTGGGAGTTTAGTGCTATAAACTTCCCCCTTAACACTGCCTTAGCTGTGTCCCAGAGATTCTGCTATATTTACCCAAAAATTCCAGAACAGACTGCTTAATTTCCATGCATTGTACAGTTTTGAGTGGTTTTCTTAGTATTTATTCCTATTTTTATTCCACTGTGCTCTGATTTCGCTTTTCTGGATTTGCTAAGGATTGTTTTTTTTTTTTTTGAAATGGAGTCTTGCTCTGTCGCCCAGGCTGGAGTGCAGTGGCGCAATCTAGGCTCACTGCAAGCTCCGCCTCCCAGGTTCACACCATTCTCCTGCCTCAGCCTCCTGAGTAGCTGAGACTACAGGTGCCCGCCACCCCGCCCGGCTAATTTTTTTTGTATTTTTAGTAAAGACGGGGTTTCACTGCGTTAGCCAGGATGGTCTCGATCTCCTGACCTCATGATCCGCCAGCCTTGGCTTCCCAAAGTGCTGGGATTACAGGTGTGAGCCACCGTGCCCAGCCTGCTAAGGATTGCTGTATGTCTGATTGTATGATTGACTTTAGAGTATGTGCCATGAGGCAATGAAAACAATGTAGATTCTGTTGTTTTGGGGGTGGAGAGTTCTGTAGATGTCTGTCAGGTCCATTTGATCCACTGCTGAGTTCAGGTCCTGAATATCTCTGTTTGCCTCAATGATCTAATACTGTCGGCGGGATGTTAAAGTCTCCCCCTATTATTGTGTGGTTGTCTAAGTCTCTTCGTTGGTCTCTCAGAACACGCTTTATGAATCCGGGTGCTTCCATGTTAGGTGCATATATATTTAGGATAGTTAGGTCTTCATGCTCTTTTTTTAATTTTTTTTTTCTTTTTCTTTTTGATTCAGCAGTTGGGCTATTACACACTCCTTAGCAGATTCCGACTTCCGTGGCCACTGTCCTGCTATGGTCTTCATGTTGAATTGAACCCTTTACCATGATTTAATGCCCTTCTTTGCCTTTTTTGATCTTTGTTGGTATAAAGTCTGTTTTGTCTGAAATTTTAATAGCAGCTCCTGCATTTTTTTTTTTTTTTGGCTTTCCATTTGCTTGGTAGATTTTTCTCCATTTCTTTACTTTGAGCCTATGGATGTCATTGCATATGAGATGGGTTTCTTATAGGCAGCATAATGTTGAGTCTTGCTTTTTTTTTTTTTTTTTTTTTTGAGATGGAGTCTCACTCTGTCACCCAGGCTGGAGTGCAGTGGTATGATCTTGACTCACTGCAACTTCTGCCTCCCAGGTTCAAATGATTCTCCTGCCTCAGCCTCCCAAATAGCTGGGATTACAGGTGTGTACCACCACGCCCAGCTATTTTTTTTTTTTATTAGAGATGGGATTTCATCACATTGGCCAGGCTAATGTCGAACTCCTGACCTCAAATGATCCACCCACCTCAGCCTCCCAAAGTGCCAGGGTTACAGGCGTGAGCCACTGCACCTGGCCTCTTGCTTCTTTATCCAACTTGCCACTCTCTGCATTTTAATTAGGACAATTAGTCCATTTACATTCAAAGTTAGCATTTACATGTGCAGATTTTTTCCTGTCATCATGTTGTTAGCTGGTTTGGTTATTATGCAGACTTGTTTGTGTGGTTGTTTTATAGTGTCACTGGTTTATGTACGTAAGTGTGTTTTCTATTGGCTGGTGATGGTCTTTTCTTTCCATATTTAGCGTTCCTCTTAGGACCTCTTGTAAGGCAGGCCTGATGGTAATAAATTCCCTCAGCATTTGCTTGTCTGTAAAGGATCTTATTTCTCCTTCACTTATGAAACTTAGTTTGGCTGGGAATGAGATTCTTGGTTGGAAATTCTTTTCATAAGAACATTAAATATAGGCCCCCAATCTCTTCTGGATTGTAGAGTTTCTGCTGAAAGGTCTGCTGTTAGCTCGATGGCATTCCCTTTGTAGGTGACCTGCCCCTTCTTTTTTGCTGCCTTTTCACATTTTTTTTTTTTTTTTTGAGACTGAGTCTTGCTCTGTTGCCCAGGCTGCCAGGCTGGAGTGCAATGGCGTGATCTCGGCTCACTGCAAGCTCCGCCTCCCGGATTCACGCCATTCTCCTGCCTCAGCCTCCCCAGTAGCTGGGACTACAGGTGCCCACCACCACGCCCAGCTAATTTTTTATATTTTTTTAGTAGAGATGGGGTTTCACCATGTTAGCCAGGATGGTCTCAATCTCCTGACCTCGTGATCCGCCCGCCTTGGTCTCCCAAAGTGCTGGGATTACAGGCGTGAGCCACCGCGCCCGGCCGACATTTCTTTCTTTCATTTCTACCTTGAAGAATCTGATGATTTTGTGTCTTGGGGATGCTCTTCTTGTGTAGTATTTTGCAGGGGTTCTCTGTTTCCTGCATTTGATTCTTGGCCTCTCTAGTGACGTTGGGGAAGTTTTCATGAACAATACACTGAAATATGTTTTCCATGTTCCTTGCTTTCTCCCCATCTCTTTCGGGGATGCCAATGGGCTATTTGGTCTCTTTTCATGATCCCATATTTCTTAGAGGTTTTGTTCATTAATTTTTATTCTTTTTCTTCATTTTTGTCTGACTGAATTAGTTCAGAGAGCCAGTATTCATGCTCTGAGATTCTTTCCTTATTTTGCTTTATTTTGCCATTAATACTTGTGATCGCATTATGAAATCTCGTAGTGTGTTTTTCAGCTCCATCAGATCCGTTTGGTTCTTTCAAAATGACCATCTCATAGATTAGCCCCTCTGTCATTTTATTGTAATCTTTAGGTTCCTTGCATTGGGTTTCAACTTTCTCCTGAATCTTGATGACCTTAATTTCTATCCATATTCTGAATTCTATTTCTGTCATTTCAGCCAGGTAAAGAGCCCTTGCTGGGAAGCTTGTGTGGTAATTTGGAGGAAGGAAGACACTGTTGCTTTTTGAGTTGATGGAGTTCTTGCTCAGTTCTTTCTCATCCATGTGGGCTAATGTTCCTTTGAGTGTGCTGCAATTTGAATTTTTTTCTTTTTTCTTTTAACCGTGATGTAATTTGAGCACAGTCAGTAGACTTCTTTTCTGGATGGTTTCAGAGGGCTGGGGCTTCGCACAGGGTCTTTATTTATAGCTAAATTCTTGTCCTTGGTTTCACAGGGAGGTATATTAGCGAGCATTTTTGGTGTTGAAGTTTGGGCTGCAATCCGGTAAATGATGCTTCAGCACAACGGCCAGTAGGTCATTCCTCATGATTGCCGCTGTGCTCCCTCTCACGCTCTGAAAGTGCGGGCTCCTCTCCCACCCAAGTGCTGGCTGCAGATCTGGGCTCGGCACTCCCAGGCTGCACATCACAGCTCTGGGGTGAGCTCAGACTTTATGTTCCCTCCGTGGCTTGGGGGCAGCAGGGGAAGGGACCTTAGCAGCGGTTGTGGCAGACGGCCTTTCACTTGTCCCTTGGAACTCCACCCCAGAGAGATGTGGAGCCACTATCAGTGCGATGAGCCAAGAGTGAGGCGACTGCACTGTGGGTCCAAGCTAGGGGCCCTGCCTAGTGATGAGCAGGGGGGACAGGTGGGTCACAGGGGTGACAGACTGGCCTCTTCTCCTTAGGGCAGTTTGCCGGAGGTGTGGTTGAAGCACTCAGAGTCTTTGCTCCTTCCCCAGTCTGAGGGCAGCAAGGCCAGTACCACCGCAGTGGCAGCGGCAGAGTGACCTTCCGTTGCCTCTGGGAGCTCCGCCACAGAGAAACGCAGACTCACAGCTGCTGGGAACGCTCCGCCAGAGGGTGGGGCTGTTGTGCCGCGGAATCAAGCTGGGGCTTGTTGAAGAGCAGGGGGTTGAGGGCTCACAGGGAGAGGAGACTGAGCTCCTCTCCGTATGGCGACTGCGGTGTGCTGGAAGCATGAATGAAGGCCGGGCGCGGTGGACTCACGCCCGGAATCCCAGCACTTTGGGAGGCCGAGGCGGGCGGATCACGAGGTCGGGAGATCGAGACCATCCTGGCTAATCTGGTGAAACCCCGTCTCTACTGAAAACACAAAAAATGAGCCGGGCGTGGTGGCGGGCGCCTGTAGTCCCAGCTACTCGGGAGGAGGATGAGGCTGAGGCAGGAGAATGGTGTGAACCCGGGAGGCGCAGCTTGCAGTGAGCCGAGATCGGGCCACTGCACTGCAGCGTGGGCGACAGAGCGAGACTCCGTCTCAAATAAATAAATAAATAAATAAATAAATAAATAAATAAATAAATAAATAAATTGAAGCATGAATGAAGGCCCCAGGCTCCTTGCTTCTTCCCCAGATCACGGGCAGCAGAGGCAGAACCCTTGCCATGGCAGTGGCAGAGGGGCTGTCAGTTGCCTCTGGGAGCCACTCCCCAGGGAAACACGAGCCACCACCAGTGAGTGTGCTGAGGGCGGGGCAGCTGCTCTGCACTCCCGAGCTGGGGGCTCTGCCTGGTAAAGTGGGGGTGGGAGCTCACGGGGAAGAGAGACTGGACTCCTCTCTGTCTGATGGCTGTGGCATAATGACCGGGCCCCCACACATGAAAAAGAATTCTGGGAACTCAAAAAGCCAGTGTGTCCCCACCATGGACCCCTTGGATTGTGTTTCAAATTTCTCCTCAATTTCGAAGAGCGTCCTGGCCATCCAGATTCTGAATTCTATAACCCTCGTTTCATTCATCTCAATGTAGCTAAGAACCAGATTTCTGGGGAACTATCGAGTTGCCAGAGTTCTTGTGTTGATTCTTTTTTTTTTTTCTTTTTTTTTTCTTTTTTGTGGCAGAGTCTTACTCTGTCGCCCAGGCTGGAGTGCAGTGGCACGATCTCAGCTCACTGCTGCAACCTTCACCTCCCGGGTTCAAGCGATTCTCCTGTCTCAGCCTCCTGAGTAGCTGGGATTACAGGTGTGTGCCACCACGCCCGGCTAATTTTTGTATGTTTAGTAGAGCCCGGGTTTTGTCACGTTGGTCAGGCTGGTCTCAAACTCTTGACCTCCGGTGATCTGCCCACTTCAGCCTCCCAAAGTGCTGGGATTACAGGTGTGAGCCACCGCGCCCGGCCTTGGTGTTGATTCTTTCTCTTGTGTGAGGGCTGGTGTTCCTTTAACTGTGATGTCGGTTGAGTACAGTCGCTTGGCTTCATTTCTGGGTGTTTTCAGATGCCAGGACTCTGCACAGGATCTTTATTTGTGGCTGAATTTTTCCCTTCATTGTATACTGGCAAAATTTTTCAGTGTTGTATTTTGAAGTGTGATCCAGTAGGTGGCACTTAAAAGGGTTGGCCAGCATACAGGATCTTAGCCACAAGGCTCTTTTGTAGTTTTGTTTCGTTTTTTGTTTCGTTTTTTGACACAGGGTCTTGTTCTGTCGCCCAGGCTGGAGCACAGTGGCACAATCTCGGCTCACTGCAGCCTCTACCTATCAGGCTAAGTGATCCTCCTGCCTCAGCCTCCTGAGTAGCTGGGACTACAAGCACGCAGCACCATAAAGAGAAAATTTTTGTAATTTTTTTTTTTTTTTTGTAGAGATGGGGTTTCACCATGTTTACCAGGCTGGTCTCAAACTCCTGGGCTCAAGCAATCTGCCTGCCTTGGCCCCCTAACTCTTGTATTTTGACAAAGTCGGCAGTAGTGCTCTGTGGTTGTGAGGAGGGGTGACTCCCTCGCCTGGTCCATTCTTGGGCCTTGGAGGAGCCTCCTACAGTCACTGGCTCTGCACCCACTGTTTCCTTTGTTAGGATTGTTCTGCCCACGGGGCTCCCTCAGGCAGGGCATGGTGGGCAGACAGGCTGTATCCTTCCCCGGCCAGCCCTATGGAGGGAGGACCACCCCGCACCTCTGCAGGCTGATGAAATCAGGTGTTTCACCCCTCTGAACGTTCTGAGAATGAGGGCTCCTCACGGCTTGGTCGCCACCTAACGTGGTGAGTCCTTCTCAGCAAGGGTGATTGGAGCCACATGATCTGCCATCTCAGTGCTTCCCAGGGGAACACAGAGCTACTGGGCATGGTGGCTCACACGTGTAATCCCAGTACTTTAGGAGGCCGAGATGGGCAGATTGCGAAGTCAGGAGACTGAGACCATCCTGGATAACATGGTGAAACCCCGTCTCTACTAAAAATACAAAAAAAAATTAGCCAGGCGTGGTGGCGGGCGCCTGTAGTCCCAGCTACTCGGGAGGCTGAGGCAGAAGAATGGTGTGAACCCGGGAGGCGGAGCTTGCAGTGAGCCAAGATCACACCACTGCACTCCAGCCTGGGCAACAGAGTGAGACTTCATCTCAACAAAAAAAGAAAAGAAAAGAAAAACACAGAGCTGCACACCCCACAGAGTTCAGGCAGAAGGGGGTCTGCAGCGCTGGAAGACCCAGCAAGCCTGGCCCGTCTGGCTGCAAGTGGCAGGGGTGGGTGGAGTCACCCACTTCACCATCTGGGTGCTTTCCAGGGAAGCATGCAGCCACGACCCCGGGCAGAGTTCAGGCAGAAGCTGGGCCACTATGCTGGAAACTGGCCTTGAGCCTTGTGGAGTAACGGCAGGTGGAGCCATCTCACTGCTCCCACGCACCATGCCCGTGGCCTCTGCGGGGGCTGTGGTAACGGCACCCGACTGCTCTGGGGTCAATGCCTGCGGAGGTCCCCCTGGCTTCAGTGTTGCCTCTGCAAAAACCCCAGTTGCAGCCAGGTGCGGTGGCTCACGCTTGTAATCCCAGCACTTTGGGAGGCCGAGGCAGGTGGATCACTTGAAGTCAGGAGTTCAAGACCAGCCTGGCCAACATGGTGAAACCCCGTTTCTACTAAAAATACAAAAATTATCCAGGCATGGTGGTGGGCACCTGTAATCCCAGCTACTCGGAAGGCTGAGGCAGCAGAATTGCTTGAACCCGGGAGGCGGAGGAGCTGAGATTGCACCACTGCACTGCAGCCTGGGCGACAAAACAAGACTCTGTCTCGAAAAATAATAACAATAAAAAATAAAGATGGCAACCATAGACACTGGAGACTACTAGATGGGGGGGAAGAAAGGGGGTTGAAAAACTGCCTATTGGGTACTATGCTCAGTACCTGGGTGACAGGATCAATCGTACTCCAAACCTCAGCATCACAAATTATTTAAATTTTTCTCTTTTTTTAATTTTTTTGTTGTTGTTGTTGAGACGAAGTCTCACTCTGTTGCCCAGGCTGGAGTGCAGTGGTGTGATCTCGGCTCACTGCAAGCTCTGCCTCCCAGGTTCACGCCATTCTCCTGCCCCAATCTCCCGAGTAGCTGGGACTACACGCGCCCGCCACCACGTCCTGCTAATTTTTTGTATTTTCAGTAGACACGGGGTTTCACCGTGTTAGCCAGGATGGTCTTGATATCGTCACCTTGTGATCCACCCGCCTCGGCCTCCCAAAGTGCTGGGAATACAGGCGTGAGCTACCGCACCCGGCCTAAATTTTTTTTTAAATAAAGAATGGTAGGTTCTTCACACCCTAATGTATTTTTACTTCTCCCACAGAGAAGGAAAGGAATGGCTTCCCCATGGCAAGCCACCTCAGTCTGGGCTTTCTTTTCTTCCAGGGGACTTTCCCATGCCTTTCATATCTGCCAAATCGAGTCCTGTGATTCCCTTGGATGGATCTGTGAAAATCCAGTGCCAGGCCATTCGTGAAGCTTACCTGACCCAGCTGATGATCATAAAAAACTCCACGTACCGAGAGATAGGCAGAAGACTGAAGTTTTGGAATGAGACTGATCCTGAGTTCGTCATTGACCACATGGACGCAAACAAGGCAGGGCGCTATCAGTGCCAATATAGGATAGGGCACTACAGGTTCCGGTACAGTGACACCCTGGAGCTGGTAGTGACAGGTAAGGAAACATCCAGGGTCCACAGCCCTGGTGTGATTTTTTTCTTATTTTTAATAGAGTATTTTTCAAGAAGTTTTAGATTTACAAACAAAAAAAAATTGATGATTGCTTCAGAGAGTTCTCAGCCATCTGGCACCCCACTTCCCCCAGAGTTAACATCTTACATTAGTATGGCACATTTCTTACCATTAATGAACAAATATCGACACATTCCCAGCTACAGTCTACAGTTTATTTACATTTTCTTAGTTTTTACCTGATAGTCTTTCTCTGTTCCAGGATCCCATTCAAGATTTCACATTGCGGCTGGGAGTGGTGGCTCACGCCTGTAATCCCAACACTTAGGGAAGCCGAGGCGGGTGGATCACCCAAGGTCAGGAGTTCGAGACCAGCCTGGCCAACATGGTGAATTCCCCGTCTCTACTGAAAATGCAACAATCGCTGGGCGCGGTGGCTCACGCCTGTAATCCCAACACTTTGGGTGGCTGAGGTGGGTGGATCACCTGAGGTCAGGAGTTCGAGACCAGCCTGGCCAACACAGTGAAACCTCGTCTCTACTAAAAATGGAAAAAATTGGCCAGGCCTGGTGGCACACGCCTGTAATCCCAGCTACTTGGGAGGCTGAGGCAGGAGAATCGCTTGAACCCAGGAGGCAGAGGTTGCAGTGAGCCAAGATCACACCACTGCACTCCAGGCTGGGCGACAGGGCGAGACTCCATCTCACACACACACACACAAAAAGATTTCACATTGCATTCAGGTGTCATGTATCTTTATTTTTTTTTTTTTTTTTTTTTTTGAGATGGAGTCCCGCTGTGTTGCCCAGGCTGGAGTGCAGTGGCACAATCTCGGCTCACTGCAAGCTCCAACCTCCCGGGTTCACGCCATTCTCCTGCCTCAGCCTCCCGAGTAGCTGGGACTACAGGCGCCCGCCACCACGCCTGGCTAATTTTTTGTATTTTTAGTAGAGATAGGGTTTCACTGTGTTAGCCAGGATGGTCTCAATCTTCTGACCTCGTGATCCGCCCGCCTGGCCTCCCAAAGTGCTGGGATTACTGGCGTGAGCCACCACGCCCGGCCCCCGAAAATGCTGGGATTACAGGCATGAGCCACCGCACCTGGCCTCCCAAAGTGCTGGGATTCCAGGCGTGAGCCACCGTGCCCGGCAGGTGTCATGTATCTTTAGGTTTGTCTTGGCTGTCACAGCTTCTCAGATGTTGCTGGTTTTCCATGACCTTGTCAGTTTTGAGGGTAGTGGTCCATTATTTTCAAGGGTACTCCCACTACTGGAAATTGTCCGATGTTTTGCTCATGACTAGACTGAGTTATGGGTCATTGCAGGCAAGACCACAGAAGCAAAGTGCCATTTCATCTCCTCATAGCAAAGGTTTAAACTGTCCATGGGAACATGACTGTGGATGTTGAGCTGGCTGTTGTTGAAAGCCTGGCTGAAGTAGTAACTGTGGCCAGACACCGTGGCTCGTGCCTGTAATCCCAGCACTTTGGGAGGCTGGGCGCCGTGGCTCACGCCTGTAATCCCAGCACTTTGAGAAGCCGAGATGGGCAGATCACTTAAGCCCAGGAGACCAGCCTGGGCAACATAGTAAGACCCCATCTGTACAAAAAATCAAAAAATTAGCTGGGCATGGTGGCACCCACCTGTAGTCTCAGTTACTTGAGAGGCTGAGATGGTAGGATCACCTGAGCCTGGGAGGTCGAGGCTGCAGTGAGCCGTGATTATGCCACTGCCCTCAGCCTGGGCGACAGAGTGAGACCCTCTCTAAAATAAATAAATTCTAAAAAAGAAAAAAGAGGCTGGGCACTGTGGTTCACGCCTGTAATCCCAGCACTTTGGGAGGCTGAGGCAGGTGGATCACCTGAGGTCAGGGATTCAAGACCAGCCTGACCAACATGGAGAAACCTCATCTTTACTAAAAATACAAAAATTAGCTGGGCGTGGTGGCGGGTGCCTGTAATCCCAGCTACTCGGGAGGCTGAGGCAGGAGACTCACTTGAACCTCGGAGGTGGAGGTTGCAGTGAGCTGAGATCGTGCCACTGCACTGCAGCCTCAGTGACAGAGTGAGACTCCATCTCAAAAAACAATAATAGGCTGGGCACAGTTGCTCATGCCTGTAATCCCAGCACTTTGGGAGGCCAAGGTGGGCAAATCACCTGAGGTCAGGAGTTCGAGACCAGCCTGACCAACATGGAGAGACCCCGTCTCTACTAAAAATACAAAAATTAGCTGGGCGTGGTGGTACGCACCTGTAATCCCAGTTTCTCGGGAGGCTGAGGCAGGAGAATTGCTTGAACCCGGGAGACGGAGGTTGCAGTGAGCTGAGATCACGCCACTGCACTCCAGCTTGGGCAATAAGAGCGAAACTCCATCTCAAAAAAATATATAATAATAACAATAATAAGAAGAAGAAAAGAATAAAGGAGAAAAGGTCTTTCTAATAGCTCACTCTTTTCTCTCTTAGGCTTGTATGGCAAACCCTTCCTCTCTGCAGATCGGGGTCTGGTGTTGATGCCAGGAGAGAATATTTCCCTCACGTGCAGCTCAGCACACATCCCATTTGATAGATTTTCACTGGCCAAGGAGGGAGAACTTTCTCTGCCACAGCACCAAAGTGGGGAACACCCGGCCAACTTCTCTTTGGGTCCTGTGGACCTCAATGTCTCAGGGATCTACAGGTGCTACGGTTGGTACAACAGGAGCCCCTACCTGTGGTCCTTCCCCAGTAATGCCTTGGAGCTTGTGGTCACAGGTAGGTACCGCCCAGTCCAGCCCTGTGTCTGGGTTGGCTGTCCAGGGCCTTGCCACCGGGCAGGAATATGAAGACGTGCACTGAGAGTGAAGTGAAGAGAGGCAAAGGCTCTCACTCCAGGACAGTGGAGAGAGAAAGGCTTCCCCACCACACTTTCCGCTTTCACTTCCTCGCTAGAGTTCTCCAGACAGGGTTCATTGAAAACTTAGTCTGTGGAGAACAGAAGGGCTAACTCAGTTTGTTTCATTTTATTTATTTCATTTTATTTTCCGGGATAGAGTCTTGCTCTTTCGCCAAGGCTGGAGTGCAGTGGCACGATCTCGACTCACTGCAACCTTCGCCTCCCAGGTTCAAGCAATTCTCCTGCCTCAGCCTCCTGAGTAGCTGGGACCACACAGACAGGGTTTCACCATGTTGGCCAGGCTGGTCTCGAACTCCCGACCTCAGGTGATCCACCTGCCTCGGCCTCCCAAAGTGCTGGGATTACAGGCGTGAGCCACCGCGCCTGGCCAGGCTGCACACATTCTTATTAGGATTCCACCTTGTTCTGGTGTTGTAGAGATGTGATTAGGTATTTAGTGAATTCACCAAGTGAGGAGAGAATGAAAAGAAAACACAACCTGCCTGGCCGGGCGTGGTGGCGTGAGCCTGTCGTCCCAGCTACTCAGGAGGCTGAGGCAGGAGAATCACTTGAACCCAGGAGGCAGCTGTTGCAGTGAGCCAAGATCACGCCATTGCACTCCAGCCTGGGTGACAGAACGAGACTCCACCTCAAGAAAAAAAAAAAAAACATGGTTGGGCACGATGGCTCACGCCTGTAATCTGAGCACATTGGGAGGCTGAGGCAGGTGGATCACCTGAGGTCGGGAGTTCGAGACCAGCCTGGCCAACATAGTGAAACCCCATCTCCACTAAAAATACAAAAATTAACCAGGCGTGGTGGTGGTGGGCGCCTGTAATCCCAGCTACTTGGGAGGCTGAGGCAGGAGAATCACTTGACCAGGGAGGCGGAGGTTGCAGTGAGCCGAGATCACGCCACTGCACTCCAGCCTGGGCAACAGAGTGAGACTCCATCTCAAAAAAAAAAAAAAAAAAAAACACACACAACCTGCCCATAATCACCTCCTTCCCAGTTTATAGCACTTCCCTGGGAAGCACAGTTCCTTGCCCGTGAACACAGTCTTGCTGACTGATCAGTGTGGTGCTGGCGAAGCATGAGCTCATTGAGGGGATGCTTGAGGGAGTCCCATTTTGGCAAGCGAAAAGGAAAATGAGCTCCCGTTTCAGGGCTCTGGGGTTGGGATGGAATGGAACACAACCACCAACCATTCATCTCCTTGAATTGTGTCTCCAGACTCCATCCACCAAGATTACACGACGCAGAACTTGATCCGCATGGCCGTGGCAGGACTGGTCCTCGTGGCTCTCTTGGCCATACTGGTTGAAAATTGGCACAGCCATACGGCACTGAACAAGGAAGCCTCGGCAGATGTGGCTGAACCGAGCTGGAGCCAACAGATGTGTCAGCCAGGATTGACCTTTGCACGAACACCAAGTGTCTGCAAGTAAACACCTGGAGGTGAAGGCAGAGAGGAGCCAGGACTGTGGAGTCCGACAAAGCTACTTGAAGGACACAAGAGAGAAAAGCTCACTAAGAAGCTTGAATCTACTTTTTTTTTTTTTTGAGACAGAGTCTGGCTCTGTCACCCAGGCTGGAGTGCAGTGGAGCAATCTCGGCTCATTGAACCTCTTGGGTTCAAGTGATTCTTGTGCCTCAGCCTCCCAAGTAGCTGGAATTACAGGCACATACCACTGCACCCAGCTAATTTTTGTATTTTTAGTAGAGATGGGGTTTCACTGTGTTGGCCAGGCTGGTCTCGAACTCCTGACCTCAGGTGATCCACCCACCTTGGCCTCCCAAAGTGCTGAGATTATAGGCATGAGCCACCACGCCTGGCCAGATGCATGTTCAAACCAATCAAATGGTGTTTTCTTATGCAGGACTGATCGATTTGCACCCACCTTTCTGCACATAAGTTATGGTTTTCCATCTTATCTGTCTTCTGATTTTTTATATCCTGTTTAATTTCTTCCTTCATTGTTCTTCTCTTTTTTTATTTATTTTATTTATTTTTATTTTTATTTTTATTTGAGACAGAGTCTCACTCTGTTGCCCAGGCTGGAGTGCAGTGGCACGATCTCGGCTCACTGCAACCTCTGCCTCCTGGGTTCAAGTGATTCTCCTGCCTCGGCCTCCCAAGTAGCTGGGATTGCAGGCTCCCACCATCACGCCCAGCTACTTTTACAGTATTTTTAGTAGAGACGGGGTTTCATCACATTGGCCAAGCTGGTCTCAAACTTCTGACCTCGTGATCTGCCCGCCTCGGCCTCCCAAAGTGCTGGGATTACAGATGTGAGCCACTGCGCCCAGCCTTCTTTTTATATTTTTAAATGTGTCTTCCCCAAATATAAATGGTTGGTAAGCATGCCAAATATATTCAATAACCCCCCTCCTTTATTTTTTTTTGTTGAAGTGAGGCTCTCCCTATGTTGCCTAAGCTGGTCTTGAACTCCTGGTCTCAAGCAATCCTCCTACCTCAGCCTCCTGCTGTGTTCATCTACAAATTGATAAGAGTGAAAGTCATAATCCTACAGGAGGATTACCCTATTTATTTCACAAACCCTATTTCTACCGGATTTTCATACAAGGAATACAGGCATGTGTTTCACCTCATTAATTTATTTTTTCACTTAGTTTTGATGATATTCACATATATTATCAAGTGTGCAAACATTAAATTCTTGTGTACAAAACTCAAATGGTCTTCCAAATAATTCCCCATTCTTTTTTCTTATAAACTTTCACAGCTTTACCCTTGACAGACTTTACTCAAGGAAATCTAAGTTGGTCATATGTGGCTCTTTCACTGATTGCTATTTACTTCATTGTCCAGTAGCTTATGTATGAAAATATAATTATAAAATGTAAGGGTCCTACTTCCAGTGAAACTGAAGGGACTTAGGCCCACTTTTATCCTTTACTGAGAGCTTATCTCTACTTGATAAAATTTCTACTGTATTCTTGGCTTAACTCAGGTCCTGTGATTAAAAAAAAAATGCAAAGTATTTCTAACTTTCTTTATTGACTGCTTTTCACACTTTATACAAGTTCTGGCCCATATCTTCAGTTTGTTCTGATTTTTTTCACCAGGTGTGGTGGCAGGTGCCTGTAGTCCCAGCTACTCCAGGGGCTGAGGCAGGAGAATGGCGTGAACCTGGGAGGCGGGGCTTGCAATGAGCTGAGATCACGCCACTACACTCCAGCCTGGGCCACAGAGCGAGACTCCGTCTCAAAAGTAAACAAACAAATAAATAATAAATAAATAAATAAAGGGAAAGTGCCACAATTTTGGATGAAGGGGGTTGAGGGACTTTACGTCAGGTCCAGGACTTGGATTACAGAGACACAATGGGGCTAGATTCCCAGAGATGGATAAGATTAAACTCATATAAGTCGTTTTGCTGACAGAAGGACCTTGTTTGGAAAAAGCGTTTTCAGAATAATAAAGTTCCTGAGCTCTTCAGAAAAGTATTTTATTGTCCTGTAACCACAGTAACAAGTAGCCACCAAAACTGATTTTTAACCCATCATCAATGACAACTCATCTCTGTGAAGATGCTCTTTTTTTTTTTTTTTTTTTTTGAGACGGGGTCTTGCTCTGTCACCCAGGCTGGGGAGCAGTGACGTGACCTCGGCTCCCTGCAACCTCTCTTTCCCGGGTTCAGCAATTCTCCTGCCTCAGCCTCCCCAGTAGCTGGGATTATAGGCACCTGCCACCACACGCAGATAATTTTTGTATTTTTAGTACAGACGGGTTTCGCCATGTTGGCCAAGCTGGTCACAAACTTCTGACCTCAGGGTGATCTGCCTGCCTCAGCCTCTCAAAGTGCTGGGATTACAGGAGTGAGCCACAAAGCCCGGCCACTCCATACGTTTTATATTGTTATGTTACCATCAGTCAGGCAGCTCCTTGCTTCTAAAAGTCATCCAATCAGACTCATTTCAGTAAACACCCAAGCATGAGTGACAACCAATCAAAGTAATATCTTCCCAATGACCACACTTTTCCAGATGACGTCAAGCCACAGAAGGCCCTGAAAATCCAACAATCTCTGAAGTATACATTTCCCAGGCTGAGCGCAGTGGCTCACACCTGAAATCCCAGCACTTTGGGAGGCTAAGGCAGGCAGATCACGAGGCCAGGAGTTCGAGACCAGCCTGGCCAACATGGCAAAACCCCGTCTCTACTAAAAATACAAAAATTAGCCAGGTGTGGTGGCACGCACCTGCATTACCAGCTACTGAGGAGGCTGAGGCAGGAGAATGGCTTGAACCCAGGAGGCGGAGGTTGCAGTGAGCCAAGATCGTACCACCGCACTCCAGCCTTGGTGACAGAGCAAGACTCCATCTCAACAACAACAACAAAAATGGTTGAAATAAAACTTCTATGTGTTGAACGATTCCTCTTTTAGGCATAGAGTTTCAGTTTTACAAGATGAAAATATTCTGGAGATCTGTTTCAAAACACCGTGAATACATTTAACACTGCTATACTGTACACTTACAATGGCTAAGATGGTAAATTGTATGTTATGTTTTTACTACAATTTTTTTTTTTTTTTTTCTGAGACAGAGTCTCACTCTTGTTGCCCAGGCTGGAGTGCAATGGTGCGGTCTCGGCTCACCGCAACCTCCGCCTCCTGGGCTCAAGCCATTCTCCTGCCTCAGCCTCCAGAGCAGCTGGGATTACAGGCATGCGCCACCACGCCTGGCTAATTTTATATTTTTAGAAGAGACGGGGTTTCTCCATGTTGGTCAGGCTGGTCTCGAACTCTGGACCTCAGGTGATCCACCCGCCTTGGCCTCCCAAAGTGCTGGGATCACAGGCGTGAGCCACCACGCCTGGCCTACAATTTTTTTTTAACTTTTTTTTCTGAGATGGAGTCTCGCTCTTGTCACCCAAGTTGGAGTGCAGTAGTGTGATCTCGGCTCACTGCAACCTCTGCCTCCCTGGTTCAAGGGATTCTCCTGCCTCAACCTCCCAAGTGTGGGAGATCAGTCAGAGTAGCAGAAGAAATTATAGGAATAGGAAGCAGCAAACCTTCTTGGAAGGCCAGGGAGGTTGGCATAGCTTCAGATAGTTTGGCTGAAAGCAGCCAGATTCTCTTTTCAGGAGCCAAACAGCTTAGGGCGCAGATACAAAGGAATGCGGAGTATTTTATCTAAATAGCTTGCTTAGTCATATGGTCCTAAAATCAACCTTTGATCATTCTCGGGCAAGATGGCCCTCTCCAGGGAGGTGGCGGGGGGCGGTGACCAGGTTAATTACCCACAGGTGTGTTGACTCAAAGCCTTTGTTAATTAAATCTGTGCTAAATAAATGCAAGCGTTGCCAGCTTAGAGGGGCTGCACTCTCTTTGGCTCCTAGTGCCGGCAGCCCCCTGGCCTGCTCTTTCACTGAATATTGGTGTCTGAGGACGTGTCTCATCTGTCGTACAGCTGGGATCTGCAGAACAGATCCCCCCCGCACCCAAGAAGCTGGGATTACAGGCACCCGCCGCCATGCCCAGCTCATTTTTGTATTTTTAGTAGAGACAGGGTTTCACCATGTTGGTCAGGCCGGTCTCGAACTCCCGGCCTCAGGTGATCTGCCCGCCTCAGCCTCCCAAAAGTGCTTGGATTACAGGCATGAGCCACTGCGCCTGGCCTTAGAAAACTTCTTTTTCTTTTTTTTTTTTTTTTTTTTTTGAGACAGAGTTTCACTCTGTCGCTACGCTGGTGTGATCTGGGCTCACTGCAATCTCCGCCTCCCAGGTTCAAGTGATTCCCCTGCCTCAGCCTCCCGAGTAGCTGGAACTACAGGTGCGCACCGCCACGCCCGGCTAATTTCTTGTATTTTCGTGGAGACGGGGTTTCACCATGTTGGCTAGGCTGGTCTGTTTCATGCGCGTCCGTGTGAAGAGACCACCAAACAGGCTCTGTGTGAGCAACAAGGCTGTTTATTTCACCTGGGTGCAGGCAGGCTGAGTCCGACAAGAGAGTCAGCGAAGGGGGATAGGGGTGGGGCCGTTTTATAGGATTTGGGTAGGTAAAGGAAAATTACAGTCAAAGGGGGGTTGTTCTTTGGTGGGCAGGAGTGGGGGGTCACAAGGTGCTCAGTAGGGGAGCTTTTGAGTCAGGATGAACCAGAAGAAGGAATTTCACAAGATAATGTCATCAGTTAAGGCAGGAACAGGCCATTTTCATTTCTTTCGTGGTGGAATGTCATCAGTTAAGGCAGGAACCGGCCATCTGGATGTGTACGTGCAGGTCACAGGGGATATGATGGCTTAGCTTGGGCTCAGAGGCCTGACATTCCTGTCTTCTTATATTAATAAGAAAAATAAAACGAAATAGTGGTAAAGTGTTGGGATGGCGAAAATTTTGGGGGGTGGTATGGAGAGAGAATGGGCGATGTTTCTCAGGGCTGCTTCGAGCGGGATTAGGGGCGGCGTGGGAACCTAGAGTGGGAGAGATTAAGCTGAAGGAAGATTTTGTGGTAAGGGGTGATATTGTGGGATTGTTAGAAGAAACATTTTTCATTTAGAATTACTGGTGATGGCCTGGATGCAGTTTTGTATGAATTGAAAAACTAAATGGAATAAGGAAAGGAGAAAAACAGGTATTAAAGGTCTAAGAATTGGGAGGACCTAGGACATCTAATTAGAGAGTGCCTAAGGAGGTTCAGCATAGCCTTGCCAGCAAAGATTATTTATTTACTTCAAGAGTTAAGAGTGGTGGTTTGGGGATAGCACCAGGAGATATCAGCTGTGATGGCTTGGAAAAACAGTGTAAACCAGCAGTGTAAACAAGAGCAGGGCATGTGTGAGTAGTTGAGAATGGTGAATAGGAGTATGACTAGACAGAAGATAGTAGGGATGACAAGTTTTTGGGGGCACATTCCAAGTTGGTCTGGTGTCTGGAATGAGACTGGGGCTTAATAAAAAGGAGCGTCTATACAGGAGCTCAAATGGGCTGTACCCTTTAGCATTCTGAGGACAGGCCTGAATTCTGAGAAAAGAAAGTGGTAAAAGTATTGTCCAGTCTTTTTTAAGTTGGTGGCTGAGCTTGGTGAGGTGTGTTTTTAAAAGACTATTAGTCTGTTCTACTTTTCCTGAAGACTGAGGACTGTAAGGGATATAAAGGTTTCACTGAATACCAAGAGCCTGAAAAACTGCTTGGCTGATTTGACTAATAAAGGCCGGTCTGCTATCAGACTGTATAGAGGTGGGAAGGCCAAACTGTGGAATTATGTCTGACAGAAGGGAAGAAATGACCTCGGTGGCCTTCTCAGACCCTGTGGGAAAGGCCTCTACCCATCCAGTGAAAGTGTCTACCCAGACCAAGAGGTATTTTAGTTTCCTGACTCAGGGCATGTGAGTAAAGTCAATTTGCCAGTCCTAGGCGGGGGCAAATCCCCGAGCCTGATGTGTAGGGAAGGGAGGGGACCTGAGCAATCCCTGAGGGGTAGTAGAATAGCAGATGGAACACTGAGAAGTGGTTTCCTTGAGGATAGATTTCCAGGATGGAAAGGAAATGAGAGGTTCTAAGAGATGGGCTAGCAGCTTGTAACCTACATGGAAGAGGCTATGAAATATCGACCGAATAGAATGGGCCTGTGAGGCTGGAAGGAGGTATTTTCCTTGGTCTAAGAACCATTTGCCTTGTGTGGGAAGAGATTGATGGGTGGAAGTTTCAGTGGGGGAGTAGGTGGGAGTGACTGATGAGAAGGAGAAAAACTGGCTGTGGGGGACAGAAATTGGCATGCTAGCTGCTTGTCTAGCTACCTTATCAGCATAAGCATAGATGTGAGAGACAGAAGTTGGAAAGCTAGCTGCTTGTCTAGCCACCTTGTCAGCATAGGCATTGTCTAGAGCAATGGGATCTGATGACTTTTGATGGCCTTTGCAGTGAATGACTCCAGCTTCCTCTGGGAGTAAAGCGGCCTTGAGCAGAGTTTTTATTAAGGAGGCATTAAAGATGGAGGACCCTTGTGTAGTGAGGAAACCTCTTTCAGCCCATATGACCGCATGGTGGGGCAGAATATGAAAGGCATATTTAGAGTCAGTATAAATATTGATGCATAGTCCTTTTGCATCAGTGAGGGCTTGAGTTAAGGCAACTAATTCGGCTTGCTGAGAGGTAGTGGAGGGGGCAGAGCGGTAGCCTCAATGATAGATGTGGAAGATACTATAGCATAGCCTGCCTTTGCTGGTGAGTGGCGATTAGGCCTGGTGGAACTGCCATCAATAAACTAAATGTGATTAGGGTGAGGAATAGGAAAGAAGGAAATGTGGGGAAATGGGGTGAATGTCAGGTGGATCAGAGAGATACAGTCATGGGGGTCAGGTGTGGTATCCGGAATAATGTGGGAGGCCGGATTGAAGTATGGGCCAGTAACAATGGTAATTGTGGGAGACTCAACAAAGAGTGAGTACAGCTGAAGGAGCCGGGGAGCAGAAAGTATATGCGTCAGGTGTGAGGAAGAAAATAGATTTTTGGAAGTTATGAGAACTGTAGAGAGTGAGTTGAGCATAGTTTGTGATTTTGAGGGCCTCTAAAACTATTAAAGCAGCGGCAGCCGCTGCTCACAGACGTGAGGGCTAGGCTAAAACAGTAAGATCAAGTTGTTTGGACAGAAAGGCTACAGGGTGCGGTCCTGGCTCTTGTGTAAGAGTTCTGACCACGCTAACCATGCCTAGGAAGGAAAGGAGTTGTTGTTTTGTAGAAGGTGCTGGGGTTTGAGAGATCACTAGGACACGATTGGCAGGGAGAGCACGTGTGTTTTTATGAGAATTATGCCGAGATAGGTAACAGAGGAGGAAGAAATTTGGGCTTGACTGAAGTAATGGGGGCTGTCTGTGAAGCCTTGCAGCAGTACAGCCTAGGTAATTTGCTGAGCTTGATCGGTGTCAGGGTCAGTCCAAGTGAAAGCGAAGAGAGGCTGGGATGAAGGGTGCAAAGGAACAGTAAAGAAAGCATGTTTGAGATCCAGAACAGAATAATGGGTTGTAGAGGCAGGTATTGAGGATAGGAGAGTATATGGGTTTGGCACTACGGGGTGGATAGGCAAAACAATTTGGTTGATAAGGTGCAGATCCTGAACTAATGTGTAAGCCTTGTCTGGTTTTAGGACAGGTAAAATGGGAGAATTGTAAGGGGAGTTTATAGGCTTTAAAAGGCCATGCTGTAGCAGGCTTTAATCCTTTTAAAGCATGCTGTGGGATGGGATATTGGCATTGAGCGGGGTAAGGTTGATTAGGTTTTAATGAGATGGTAAGGGGTGCATGATTGGTCACCAAGGAGGGAGTAGAGGTATCCTATACTTGTGGGTTAAGGTGGGGGGATACAAGAGGAGGACACAAAGGAGGCTTTGGATTGGGAAGAAGGGCAGCAATGAGATATAGCTGTAGTCCAGGAATAGTCAGGGAAGCAGATAATTTAGTTAAAGTGTCTCAGCCTAATAAGGGAACTGGGCAGGTGGGGATAACTAAAAAGGAGTGCTTGAAAGAGTATTGTCTAAGTTGGCACCAGAGTTGGGGAGTTTTAAGAGGTTTAGAAGCCTAGCTGTCAATACCTACAACAGTTATGGAGGCAAGAGAAACAGGCCCTTGAAAAGAAGGTAATGTGGAGTGGGTAGCCTCCATATTGATTAAGAAGGGGACGGGCTTACCTTCCACTGTGAGAGTTACCTAGACTGTCTGTGATGGTCCTGTAGGCTTCCGAGGCGATCGGGATCGGGCAGTGTCAGTCTTCAGCTGCTAAGCCGAGAAGATCTGGGAAGGAGTCAGAGAGCCTTGGGCCAGAGTTCTAGCTGCTCTGGGAGTGGCTGCCAGGTGAGTTGAACAGTCCGATTTTCAGTGGGGTCCCGCACAGATGGGATGCGGCTTAGGAGGAATCCCAGGCTGTGGACATTCCTTGGCCCAGTGGCCAGATTTCCAGTACTTGTAGCAAGCTCCTGGGGGAAGAGGTTCTGGAGGAACCCCTGGCAGCTGCGGTTCAGGCGTTTGGAGTTCTCGTGTGCTGGAGATGTGGCTGGGGTTTGTCTCATCTGGATACTGGAGTGGAGGCAAGGAATTGCAACTCAGAAATATGTTGCTATTTGGCTGCCTCTACTCTATTACTGTACACCTTGAAGGCGAGGTTAATTAAGTCTTGTTGTGGGGTTTGAGGGACAGAATTTAATTTTTGGAGCTTTATTTAATGTTGGGAGCAGATTTGGTAATAAAATGTATATTGAGAATAAGACGGCCTTTTGACTTAGGGTCTAGGGCTGTAAAGCGTCTCAGGGTTGCTGCCAAATGAGCCATGAACTGGGCTGTGTTTTTAAATTTGATGAAAAAGAGCCTAAACACTATCTGATTTGGGAGAGGTCAGATAAAGAAAAAGGAGCATTAACCTTGACTATGCCTTTAGCTTCAGCCACCTTTTTAAGAGGAAATTGCTGGGCAGTTGGGGGAGGGCTAGTCATGGAATGGAACTGTAAGCTGGACCGGGTGTGAGGAGGGGAGGTGATAAAAGGATTATAGGGTGGAGGAGCGGAGGCTGAGGAAGAATTGGGACCCAGCTCGGCCTGGCGAGGAGGGGAGATGTCAGATGGGTCTGTAGAAAAGGAAGATTAGAAAGACTCAGCGATGCTTGGGGTTGGGACTGACGGGACAGGCGGGAGGGAAAGAAGGAAGATTTGGGACGAGTTGCACTGGGCATAGAGACTAGGGAGGGACCGATGTGTAAAAGAATGCCTGGATGTCAGGCACCTCAGACCGTTTGCCCATTTTACAACAAGAATTATTTAGATCTTGTAGGATGGAAAAATTGAAAGTGCCGTTTTCTGGCTATTTGGAACCACTGTCAAGTTTGTATTGGGGTCAAGCAGCATTGCAGAAGAAAATAAGGCATTTAGGTTTTAGGTCAGGTGTGAGTTGAAGAGGTTTTAGGTTTTTAAGAACACAGGCTAAGGGAGAAGAAGGAGGAATGGAGGGTGGAAGGTTGCCCATACTGAAGGAGGCAAGCACAGAGAAAAGAGAGAGTAGAGACATGGAGGGAAGGGGTTCAGGGGTTCTTACCTTCCAGAAAAGCGGGAAAGGGGTCAGGGCACAGAAGTAAGGGATTGGGGTGCAGAGACAAGAGGTCGGGGTGTGGAAATAAGGGATCGGGGTGCAGAGATAAGACGTCAGGGCACAGAAATAAGGGATCGGGGGATTCTTGCCCCCTAGAAAAGCGGTACTTGCCACTAAGGGTGAAGGAGAAGGGGTTGGGGGGTTCTTGCCCCCCCAGAAAAGCAGAGAAGGGGTAGAGACACAGAGAAGGAGTTGGGGGTTCTTGCCCCCCCAGAAAAGCAGTACTTGCCACTAAGGGTGAAGGACCAAGGCAGGCATCCCCATGTGGTCAGACACCTCTGAAACGTGGGTGAATAATCAGAGAGGTGTCCCCGCGTGATTAAACACCAAGGGAAGGCTGCCTTCCCGAGTCCATGACCGGCGCTGGAGTTTTGGGTCCACGAATAAAGCGCGTCTCCTGTCTCTACCAGAAAAGGAAAGGAACTGAAATTAAGAGAAGGGAGAGATTGAAGAGTGGAAAGGAGAAAGTGGTTGAGGGATAGTGAGAGAGGTTGGAGAAGAGAGTAAAAAGAGGCTGCTTACTGGATTTAAAATTGGTGAGATGTTCCTTGGGCTGGTTGGTCTGAGGACGAGAGGTCGTAGGTGGATCTTTCTCATGGAGCAAAGAGCAGGAGGACAGGGGATTGATCTCCTAAGGAAGATCCCCTGATTCGAGTTATGGCACCAAATTTCACTCACGTCCGTGTGAAGAGACCACCAAACAGGATTTGTGTGAGCAACAAGGCTGTTTATTTCACCTGGGTGCAGGCGGGCTGAGTCCAGAAAGAGAGTCAGCAAAGGGAGATAGGAGTGCGGCCGTTTTATAGGATTTGGGTAGGTAAAGGAAAATTACAGTCAAAAGGGGGTTGTTCTCTGGCGGGCAGGAGTGGGGTTCACAAGGTGCTCAGTAGGGGAGCTTTTGAGCCGGGATGAGCCAGGAGAAGGAATTTCATAAGATAATGTCATCACTTAAGGCAAGAACAGGCCATTTTCATTTCTTTCGTGGTGGAATGTCATCAGTTAAGGCAGGAACCGGCCATCTGGATGTGTACATACAGGCCACAGGGGGATATGATGGCTTAGCTTGGGCTCAGAGGCCTGACAGTCTGGATCACCTGACCTGGTGATCCGCACACCTCGGCCTCCCAAAGTGCTGGGATTACAGGCATGACCCACTGCACCTGGCCTTAGAAAACTTCTTAAATATTAAAATGTATGTTATGTGTATTTTGCCACAATTTTTGAAAAGTACCTTCTGGTGTTTAGAGACAGAAGATGAGTGGTTGCCTAGGGCCGGGAGAGTGAGGGGATCGTGGTGATGGGCAGCTGGTCGGCATGGGGTTCTGAAGGGCAGTGATGACAACATTCTAAAATTAGACTGTGTTGACGGTTGCACCAACTCCGTGAATACCACAAAATTTAAACCATTGAATTATGCACTTTTAATGGGTAATTGTATGGCATGTAAATTATATCTCAATAAAGTTATATTTTTAAATACCAAAAAAAGGCCGGGTGCGGTGGCTCACGCCTGTAATCCCAGCACTTTGGGAGGCCGAGAAGGGCGGATCACGAGGTCAGGAGATGGAGACCATCCTGGCTAACATGGTGAAACCCCATCTCTACTTTGAAAAAAAAAAAAAAAGATTACCCGGACGTGGTGGTGGGCACCTGTAGTCCTAGCTACTCAGGAGGCTGAGGCAGGAGAATGGCATAAACTCGGGAGGCAGAGCTTGCAGTGAGTCGAGATTGCGCCACTCAGGAGGCTGAGGCAAGAGAATGGCATAAACCCCGGAGGCAGAGCTTGCAGAGAGCCGAGATTGCGCCACTGCACTCCAGCATGGGTGACAGAGCGAGAGTCCATCTCAAAAAAAAAAAAAAAAAAAAAAAAGATTAGTAATATCCTCTGTGTCACTTACCACTTAAGTGATTGAATCACGACTTGAAATTCATCATCTCAAACATGGCTTAGAGTCTGTAGAGGGGGGACAGTCCCAGGAATGCTGGTGTGGGCTTAAGGCTGAATTAAATAGATCCAGATGGCTCACACCTGTAATCCCAATACCTTGGGAGGCCGAGGCAGGTGGGAGGCTGAGGCAGGCGGATCACTGGAGCTCCTGGAGCGAAGAAAGGATGCTAGTGGAAAAACTGGTGAAATCAGAATAAAGTCTATAGTTTTATTTTTTAAAGGAGGCTGGGCGTGGTGGCTCATGCCTCTAATCCCAGCACTTTGGGAGGCTGAGGCAGGTGGATCAGTTGAGTTCAGGAGTTCAAAACCAGCCTGGCCAACTTGACGAAACCCCATCTCTACTAGAAATACAAAAATTAGCTGGGCGTGGTTGTGGGTGCCTCTAATCCCAGCTACTCAGGAAGCTGAGGCAAGAGAATTGCTTGAACCCAGGAGGCGGAGGTTGCAGTGAGCTGAGATCACACCATTGCACTCCAGCCTGGGCTACAGAGCAAGATTCCATCTCCAAATAAGAGAGACATGACAATTAAATAAATTGTGTAATCTTGGATTAAATCCTAAACCAAATATATGTCACTGGTAAAACAAGTGGTGAAATTTGAATAAAGTGGATAGATCAGACAATAGTGTCATATCAGTGCTATTTCTTGACCTTGAACATTAATAACAGAATGTCCTTGGTTTTGGGAAATATAACCTGAAGTGATTAGAGGTTTAGGGCATCATATGCAAATTAGACACACTTTCTTCGGGGAGAGAGGGAGAGGGAGAGAGGCTGAATGATGAAGCAAATGTGGTAAAATGCTAACTTTGGGGAAATCTGGATGAAGAAATTACAGATTTTTTTTTTTTTTATAGACAGGGTAACACTCTGTCACCCAGGCTAGAGTGCAGTGGCACGATCATGGCTCACTGCAGCTTCTACCTCCCTGGGCTCAGATGACCCTCTCACCTCAGCCTCCCAAGTAGCTGGGACTATAGGCGCACAGCACCACACCTGGCTAATTTTTGCATTTTTTTTTCCCCCAGGCTCGTCTCAAGCAATCCACCCACCTCGGCCTCCCAAAGTGCTGGGATTACAGGTGTGAGCCACTGCACCTGGCCAGAAATTCTTTAAACTATTTTTGCAAGTCTGGAATTATGTCAAAATTAAAAGCTCAAAATAATAAAAGACAATATTCTTATATTTCTTTGGTGAAGGTAACTATGTTATGGCTGAGAGGGTGGCTGAGGTCTGAGGATCCAGCCTACATAAGTCTCCTCCATAGAGGGCATCCAAGCGCTCCGTAGGGGGAAGGATAAAGAAAACACCCAGAGTTATGACAGCTGTGTAAGGGGAAACGCCAGCACCGAGTACTGAATCTTCAGTAAATAAGAAGGAGGCGGGCTGGGTGTGGTGGCTCACGCCTGTAATCCCAGCACTTTGGGAGGCTAAAGTGGGCTGATCACTTGAGGTCAAGAGTTCGAGACTAGCCTGGCCAACATGGGGAAACCCTGTCTCTACTAAAAATACAAAAATTAGTCGAGTGTGGTGGCACACGCCTGTAATCCCAGCTACTTGGGAGGCTAGAACAGGAGAATTGCTTGAACCCAGGAGGTGAAGGTTGCAGTGAGCTGAGATTGCACCACTGCACCCCAGCTTGAGGGACAGAGTGAGATTCCGTCTTAAAGAGAAAAAAAAAAGAATTAGCACATTTGTTTGCCTCAAGAAGATACAACTAGTCTTGTACAGTAGTCACATGTATCCACCAGGATATATTCCAAGGCCCCAGTGGATGCTGAAAACTACATAGTACCTTACATGTATATATATATGTATATACATATATACACATATACGTATATGTATACATACATGTATATATACATGTATGTATATACATATATGCATATATACATACATGTATATATACATGTATGTATATACATATATGTATATGTATGTATACACGCATACATGTATGTATACACGCATACATGTATGTATATACATATATGTATGTATACACGGATACATGTATGTATATACATATATGTATGTATACACGCATACATGTGTGTATACATATATATGCATGTATGCATGTGTGTATATATACATATATGTGTATATATACGCATATACATGTATGTGTATATATGCATGTGTATATATACATGTACGGTACTATGCAGTATATATACACATATATGTATATATGTATACATATATGTATAAATGTATATATGTGTATATATATAAAAGGTATATATGTATATATGTGTGTATATATAAAATGCATGAATTTCTTTTTTCTTACTGTAGATCTTAACAACTTCTGCATAGAATTTTTTTTTATTAAGTGGAGAGTTAGTTACTTACTTAAAAGAAATGTTTCTTGGCTGGGTGTGGTGGCTCACACCTGTAATCCCAGCACTTTGAGAGGCCGAGGCAGGAAGATTCACTTGAGGTGAGGAGTTGGAGACCATCCTGGCCAACGTGGTAAAAACCGGTCTCTACTAAAAGTACAAAAATGAGCTGGGCGTGGTGTTGGGTGTCTGTAGTCCCAGCTACTCAGGTGGCTGAGGCAGGAGAATTGCTTGAACCCACAAGGCAGAGGTTGCAGTGAGCTGAGATCACACCACTGCACCACAGCCTGGGCAACAGAGCAAGACTCTGTCTCAAAAAAAAAAAAAAAAAAGAAAGAAAAAGAAAAAGAAAAGAAATGTTTCTTTTCTTATTAAGTTCTTTAAATGAAAAGCTTTTCTTTTCACTTTTATTTTATTGAAACATTATAACACTATCTTTGAAGAAGATAGTGTTATCATTCCATTCTGATGAAACCAATTAACTTATCCAAGCATATGTATACTGTACACAGAGAAGCCAACGTCAAAACCCCTATTTTTATCTTTTTAGATTCAGCAGATACATGTGCAGGTTTTTTATGAGTATATTGCATGATGCTGAGGCTTGCATTAATGATCTAGTCACCAAATAGGTAGATTTTCAAGCCTTGCTCCCCTCCTTACCCAATGTTTAGCGCTCTCACTTATAAGTGAGAACATGTGGTATTTGGTTTTCTTTTCTTTTTTTTTTTTTTTTTTGAGATGGAGTTTCACTCTTGTTGCCCAGGCTGGAGTACAATGGCACCATCTCGGCTCACTGCAACCTTCACCTTCCAGGTTCAAGCAATTCTCCTGCCTCAGCCTCCCGAGTAGTTGGGACTACAGGCATGTGCCACCACACCCGGCTAATTTTGAATTTTTAGTAGAGACAGGGTTTCTGCATGTTGGTCAGGCTGGTCTCGAACTCCCGACCTAAGGTGATCCACCTGCCTCAGCCTCCCAAAGTGCTGGGATGACAGGCCTGAGCCACCGTGTCTGGCCAGTATTTGGTTTTCTGTTTCTGTGTTAACTCGCTTAGGATAATGGCCTCTAGCTGCATCCATGTTGCTGCAAAGGACATAATCTTGTGATTTTTCAAGGCTGTATAGCGTTCTGTGGTGTATACATATCACATTGTCTTTATCCAGTCCACCTCTGATGGGACCTGGGTGGATTCCATGTCTTCACTATTGTGAATCCTGCTGCAATGAACATACAAGTGCATGTGTCTTTTTGGTAGAATGATTTATTTTCCTTTGGCTATATACCCAGCGATGGGATTGCTGGGCTGAATGGTAACTCTGTTTGTAGTTCTCTGAAATATCTCCAAACCAAACTGCTTTCCACAGTGGCTGAACTAATTTACACCCACCAACAGTGTATAAGTGTCCCCTTTGCTCCACAATCTCACCAGCATCTGTTAATTTCTGGCTTTTCAGTAATGGCCATTCTGACTGGTGTGAGATGGTATTGTTGAGGGATAATTTAGGAATCAGAGAGACCGAGGGGTTGAGGAGGATTTATTATTATTATTATTATTTAGGTGCACCGGCCCCAGTCAGATTAACATCCAAAAAGACTGAGGCTCGAACAGAGAGTCCGGTTACCTTTTAAGCATTTTGTGGGGTTGGGGGAGATCTGTGCAGGGGGAAGCATATTACAGAAGCAAGAAACAAAGGCAGTTATTCAATTGAGACATGCATCACATTATTCCTTACTTTTCAAGAAAAATATGTTTTACGACTTGAGGTTATCCTGTCTAGTGACCTTGCAGCCGCACGGCAAGAGAAACAGGGTCTTCACAATGCCTGGGAAAGGGAGAGATAAGGCTCACTAGCCACAGACAGAAAAACAGGCAGTTCATGTTTAAAGGACTCCACCTCTTTCTCTTCCTCGGGGGGAACTGGGTTTTCTTAAATACAACTGAGTTTTTGTTTACACATTCTGTAATTTCTTTTAATTCCTGTTCCAGTATCTCACTGTGAAACTCCCTATGTTTTTATACGATTCTCAGGGGGTTTCCTCTGGGCATGATTGGGCACAACTTCCCACAGTCAGCTCTGGGTACGACCTCCACATTGCAGAATTGAGAAGTTGACCCAGAAATGCATTTTGGGCTGAGCAGACAATTGTCAGAGTTGCTGGCTAGACCACAGATGTGTCAGAGGGACCACGGCCTTTCTGTAAGCTCATGGTCAGAGGCGGAGGGGAGTTGTGAACGTTCTGATGAAAGCAGTCAACGTGAAAGCGCTCTGGTGATGGGCGCTGGTGCTCACCCACCACTTCCTGTGTATCTATCTCCCTGGCCCGCCCGGCTCAGTCCCCACTGCTCAGCACTAGGCCGGCAGAATCTGAGCGATGTCTTCCACACTCCCTGCCCTGCTCTGCGTCGGTGAGTTCTGGCGTGGAAGGGGAATGGGATCACGGTGTGCCTGGGAGGCAACAGGTCTCATTACTCCCGTCTTCCAGGGCTGTGTCTGAGTCAGAGGATCAGCGCCCAGCAGCGTGAGTCCTTCCTTCAAAGCCCAGGGTCACTCTTCCGGATTCAGGCCAAGCTCCTTCCACCCAAGCACGGCTGGGGTGAGGGGACAGGGTGCTGGCTTCCCAGGAGAGCTTGGGGCCAGCAGCTGGGTGGAGCCTAAGGTTGGGGGGAGGGGGCTCCGCTGGAACTCCAGCCTCTGATTCCCTTCCAGAGACTCTCCCAAAACCGTTCATCTGGGCCGAGCCCCATTTCATGGTTCCAAAGGAAAAGCAAGTGACCATCTGTTGCCAGGGAAATTATGGGGCTGTTGAATACCAGCTGCACTTTGAAGGAAGCCTTTTTGCCGTGGACAGACCAAAACCCCCTGAGCGGATTAACAAAGTCCAATTCTACATCCCGGACATGAACTCCCGCATGGCAGGGCAATACAGCTGCATCTATCGGGTTGGGGAGCTCTGGTCAGAGCCCAGCAACTTGCTGGATCTGGTGGTAACAGGTAACTGTCCGGTTCTCTAACTGGAGAGTGATCTCAGTCTGCATCCGGGATGCAGCATCATCTATGAACTCTTCCAAGCCCCACTCAGACACTGCTTGTCTCGGTAGGAGGCTGGAAGGAGGGGTGATCCCCATCACAATCCTTGCCTACAAGGGGTTGTCTGCAGACCGTGTCTCTACGTCCTAGGAGCAGATGTGTCCTCAGTCAGTTTCTCCATGACACAGATTCTGAGATAGATATTTGTATGCAGGGGTATGACTGAGGAATGTCCTCAAAAACAATGCCTGTGGGCCAGGCGCAGTGGCTTACACTTTGCTTCCCTCACCCATCACAGGTGGTGGGTTTTTTTTTTTTTTATCTGTTTTGAGACGGAGTTTCGCTCTTGTCACCCAGGCTGGAGTGCAGTGGTGCAATCTCCAGTCACTGCAACCTCCACCTCCTGGGTTCAAGTGATTCTCCAGCCTCAGCTTCCCAAGTAGCTGGGATCACAGGCACCCACCACTACGCCACATTTTGTATTTTTAGTAGAGATGGGGTTTCACCATGTTGGCCAGGGTGGTGTCGAACTCCTGACCTCAGATGATCCGCCCGCCTCACCCTCCCAAAGTGCTGGGATTACAGGTGTGAGCCATCACACCCAGCCAGGTGGTGGTTTTCTAAAAAAAAAAAAAAATTAGCTTTTTTTTTTTTTTAACAATATGGTTGTTTATTATTATTATCAAGTATTATACATAGTTACATATACATACATAATTGTATGTGCTATACAATTAGGTTTGTTTATACCAGCAACACCAAAAACACATGAGCAATACTTTGTGCTAGGAAGGCTATGATGTCATCAGGCAATAGGAATTTTTCAGTTTCATTATAATCTTATGGGACCACCATCATATATGTGGTACATTGTTGGCCAAAATGTCATTATGCAGCTCACAACAGTATTTCATGTCCATTCAAATATCTTCTTTTGTGAAATGTCTATTTAAATCTTTTGCCTATTTTTAAATTGGGTTGCTTATATTTTGATTGATTAGGAAAAGTTATTTCTATATTCTGTGTCATATACTTGTGTTGAAATATATATATTTTTTGTCTGTGCCTTTTCATTTGCTCAGGGTCTTTGGACCTTGTTTGGAGGTTCTGGCAGGGGAACACAGCTACTCATTTATTCTTTTTTTTTTAATTTTTTTAGTATTTATTGATCATTCTTGGGTGTTTCTCGGAGAGGGGGATTTGGCAGGGTCATAGGACAATAGTGGAGAGAAGGTCAGCAGATAAACATGTGAACAAAGGTCTCTGGCTTTCCTAGGCAGAGGTCCCTGCGGCCTTCCGCAGTGTTTGTGTCCCTGGGTACTTGAGATTAGGGAGTGGTGATGACTCTTAAGGAGCATGCTGCCTTCAAGCATCTGTTTAACAAAGCACATCTTGCACCGCCCTTAATCCATTTAACCCTGAGTGGACACAGCACATGTTTCAGAGAGCACGGGGTTGGGGGTAAGGTCATAGATTAACAGCATCCCAAAGCAGAAGAATTTGTCTTAGTACAGAACAAAATGGAGTCTCCTATGTCTACTTCTTTCTACACAGACACAGTAACAATCTGATCTCTCTTTCTTTTCCCCACATTTCCCCTTTTTCTATTCGACAAAACCGCCATCGTCATCATGGCCCGTTCTCAATGAGCTGTTGGGTACACCTCCCAGACGGGGTGGCGGCCGGGCAGAGGGGCTCCTCACTTCCCAGACGGGGCGGCCGGGCAGAGGCGCCCCCCCACCTCCCAGACGGGGCAGTGGCCGGGCGGGGGCTGCCCCCCAACCTCCCGGACGGGGCGGCTGGCCGGGGCTTTTTTTTTTTTTTTTGAGACAGTCTCGCTGCAGTGCAGTGGTACAATCTCAGCTCACTGCAACCTCTGCCTCAGCCTCAATTCTCCTGCCTCAGCCTCCCAAGTAGTTGAGATTACAGGCATGTGCCACCACACCCGGCTAATTTTTGCATTTTTAGTAGAGACGGGGTTTCACCATGTTGACCAGGCTGGTCTCAAACTCCTGACCCAGGAGGTCGAGGCTTCAGTAAGCAAAGATAGTGCCACGGCGCTCCAGCCTGGGAAACAGAGCAAGACCCTGTATCATTTTTAAAAATGGTTTTAGACGGTAAATCTTCTATTGTGTGTATTTGACCAAAATAATAATTAAAAAAAAAAAAAAAAGCTGGCTGCCAGGCATGGTGGCAGGCCCCTGTAGTCCCAGCTACTTGGGAGGGTGAGGCAGGAGAAACGCTTGAACCCGGGAGGCGGAGGTTGCAGTGAGCCAAGATCGTGTCACTGCACTCCAGCCTGGGCGACAGAGAGAGACTCCATCTCTAAAGAAAGAAAAAAAAAAATAGCTGGCTGCTCATCACTGAGTTTCTGGTGTGGTGGCCCCACCTTCTCTCATAGAAATGTATGACACACCCACCCTCTCGGTTCATCCTGGACCCGAAGTGATCTCGGGAGAGAAGGTGACCTTCTACTGCCGTCTAGACACTGCAACAAGCATGTTCTTACTGCTCAAGGAGGGAAGATCCAGCCACGTACAGCGCGGATACGGGAAGGTCCAGGCGGAGTTCCCCCTGGGCCCTGTGACCACAGCCCACAGAGGGACATACCGATGTTTTGGCTCCTATAACAACCATGCCTGGTCTTTCCCCAGTGAGCCAGTGAAGCTCCTGGTCACAGGTGAGGAAATGCTCAATTCCCCACACCCTTCGCCGCCATGTGCTACCTGGAGCCCTGAGGGATCCCCAGAGAGTGATGGGGAGGGTGTCCAAGGGACGTCCACTTCCTGGGTGCCTGGTTGGTCATGTGAGGAAGAACACCAGAAGCAGGAAGGAGGAGGGAACAGAGAAAGGAATGGTAAGGCGGGTGGATCACAAGGTCAGGAGTTCGAGACCAGCCTGGCCAAGACGGTGAAACCCCGTCTCTACTAAAAATACAGAAATTAGCCAGACGCAGTGGCGGACACCTGTAGTCCCAGCTACTCAGGAGGCTGAGGCAGGAGAATCGCTTGAACCCGGGAGGCGGGGGTTGTAGTGAACCGAGATCATACCACCGCACTGCAACCTGGGCGACAGAGCAAGACTCCATCTCAAAAAAAAAAAAAAAAAAAAAAGAATGGCAAGACCGGAGGAAACCAAAAACCCTTACTTTTTTTTCTTTATCTCCTTTTCCAGGCGACATTGAGAACACCAGCCTTGCACCTGAAGACCCCACCTTTCCTGGTGAGTAACTGGTCCTTCTAAGCTCAGACGAGCGATCAGAGCCTCCCAGTGACACTAAAAACGTGGCATTCATTCAAAATATTCATCGAGGCCAGGCGTGGTGGCTCACGCCTGTAATCCCAGCACTTTGGGAGGCCGAGATGGTGCATCATTTGAGGTCAGGAGTTTGAGACCAGCCTGGCCAACATGGCGAAACCCTGTCTCTACTAAAAATACAAAACTTAGGCTGGGCATCATGGCTCACACCTGTAATCCCAACACTTCGGGAGGCCAAGGTGGTTGGATCACAAGGTCAGGAATTCGAGACCAGCCTGACCAACATGGTGAAACCCCATCTCTACTAAAAATACAAAAATTAGCCGGGCCTGGTGGTGCTCGCCTGTAATCCCAGCTACTCAGGAGGCTGAGGCAGGAGAATTGTTGAACCTGGGATGCAGAGGTTGCAGTGAGCTGAGATCGCGCCACTGCATTCCACTCCACTGCACGACACAGCGAGACTCCATCTCACAGAAAAACAAAAACAAAACTATTATATATATATATTCATCAAGTGCATAGTATACACAGTGAACTACACTGTAACAGTCAGCCAGGCAGATATCTTGACTGTGCAGCACTTAGATTCTAGCAGGAGGAGACACACCATCGGTCAACGTCAGGATAGCACACAGGAGGGAATGATGCTATGGAAGGAAAAGACAAAGTAGAACAGACTTACAGTGATTGAAATGGCAGCTAGCAATATTAAATAGGTTTGTCCAGATGGACCTCACAGAGAAAGAAGGCATCTGAGCAAATGCGTTCAGACTTGAGTTAATCATGTGGCTGTCAGGAGAAAGGAGGCTCTGGAGAGAATGAAATGGCATCTGCCTGTGCCCTGGGGCAGGAAGATAACTGGGGTAATACAATAATAACTATGAGGCCAGGAGGGTTGAAAATGATGTTTGGAAGATGACGGTGGGATGGGCCTGGGGCGCACGGCTAGGATTACAGGAGTGAGGCCCGGCGCGGTGGCTCACGCCTGTAATCCCAGCACTTTGGGAAACCGAGGCAGGTGGATCATGAGGTCAGGAGATCAAGACCATCCTGGCTAACACGGTGAAACCCTGTCTCTACTAAAAAAAAATACAAAAATTATCCGGGCGTGGTGGCGGGCGCCTGTAGTCCCAGCTACGCAAGAGGCTGAGGCAGGAGAATGGCGTGAACCCGGGAGACGGAGCTTGCAGTGAGCTGAGATCGCGCCACTGCACTCCAGCCTGGGCGACAGAGTGAGACTCCGTCTCAAAAAAAAAGAAAAAGAAAAAGAAAAAGAAAAAAAAATAGTGAGACTTTGAATTTCACTATGTGTGAGGAGAAAGAGGTAATGATGACTTAATGAGGAAAATGAGGCTTAAATAGAAGACGGGCTGGGCCGGGTGGCTCCTGCATGTAATCCCAGCACTTTGGAAGGCAGGGGCGGCTGGATCACTTGAGGTCAGGAGTTCAAGACCAGCCTGGCCAACACAGTGAAACCCCATCTCTACTAAAAATACAAACATGAGTTGGGTGTGGTGGCGCACGCCAGTAATTACAGCTACTCGGGGCTGAAGCAAGAGGATTGCTTGAACTCGGGAGGCGGAGGTTGCAGTGAGCTGAGATCACACCACTGTACTCCAGCCTCAGAGGCCTGCCATCCCAGCCCTTTGGGAGGCCGAAGCAGGCAGGTCATCTGAGGTTGGGAGTTCAAGACCAGCCTGGCCAACATGGCAAAACCCCGTTTCTACTAAAAATATGAAAAAAATTACCTGGGTATGTGGTGTGTGCCTGTAGTCCCAGCTACTCCAGAGGCTGGAACACAGTGAGACTCTATCTCAAAAAAAAAAAAAATAGAAGACATGACTGGTGCAAAGACACATGCTCACAAGTGCTAGAATGGAATTC